>NC_000002.12:188398708-188701739 GCF_000001405.40 Homo sapiens | reverse complement strand
TTCATTCTAGGTTATTACAGACACAATAGAAACTTAAATATAATGGGATACAGCATTTTAAAAACAGTGACTTGTCTAACATTTTCCTTGTGTGAGAATTGTTTTTATTTGAAATAAGATGCTTCTTATTTCTCCAATGTTTTTCTTTTTTCTCTGTTAATTTTGTTTTAAAATTTTCTATTAGATATGTTCTCAACAGAAAAGTATGTAAAGTTTTTATTTTTTAATTAAAATTGATGGCTTGTTTTTCACATGATAACAAACCAAGAAAATAGAATTTTCCTTTGTTAATTTTTTATACTTACAGCCACAAATTAGAGTGTTTTTATTCCCTCTCATATACTGACTCTTTTCTCTAAGGAATATAATTAGAAAGTCTTCTCATTCAGTACAGTTTTTCTTTTTTCTATTTAACGTATACTAGGAGCACATAGTAAAGAAAGTAGCAACCTTATGGAAATAACAATAATGGTATAGTAAATCTAAAGAAGGATAATATTGGCTTATAATCCATTTAACCTTTCAAAAACATCCTGCTTATAAATTTTAAATTTTTACTTAAAAGATGAAACAAATTTATTATTTATTAGCCAATCTAAACATTCCACAATACATTTACTATCTAATTAATGTATAAAATTAAAATGTAGCCAAACATTAGTTGTTCATGAGCCACAAAATTCAAGAAAAATACATTTTAGATTTTTAAGCAGTTACTGTGTATTTATTTGAATCAGTTTATTTTTTAAAGCATTAATGTCTGATTATTAAAGTAACATGCATTCAATATAAAAATTTGATACATGTATAAATTTGTAAAATGCAATAAATATAAAGAAAATCATAGGGCATATATCACTAGATTATATAAACATTTTGGAATATTTATCTAGATTTAGGATTATTTGAAGACTTTCTTTAGATAACTTTCATAATCCGCCTCAATTAAAGCTTCAGTGTAATCTATAGATGATAGTTCTCATGTCAATAAATATCTTTTATAGTGATTTCATAATTCTATATGTAGATTATAATTTTTTTAATTATCCTAATAGTTTTAGATATTTAGGTTGGTTATAGTGTTTGTTGTTATAAATACCACTATTATGGGATATTTGGATAGAACAAAATAGTTAACACTAGCTATCTCTGCATTATTCCAATCAAATTTCTATATAGACTCATTAAATTCTCATAACAACTCCTTAGCTATAGTTATCCTAATTTTACAGATGAGCAACTGAGGCAAGTGAGATTAACGTCAGATAGAAAGTGACAGATAATAAGATTTTAATTCATGCAAATCTTCTCTGGAATCTCTCTTAACCACCATGTCATACCACACCAACAATAGCTTCAGAATCATTGTCAAAATACCTTTTTCCTTAAGACAAATTCCTAGAAGTCAAAATTTGGGAACACATTGCAAGAAATAGTTTTTAAACAATTGACTACACTGGAAGAAAATTTTCCTTTACATTGTTCCAATTTTCTAACTCAAAAGAATTCTATGAGGATTGTCTTTCTAATCTCACTCTTAAAACATTAATTTTCAGTTTTAAAATAGCCCAAACTTCAAAATAGAAGTTTTTGTGCCATTATTTTCAATTTCTTAAGTACAATGGTGTTTATAAAGTATTTAATAATTTTTTAACTACTTCTCACATCTTCTGTTCATGCTCAGGTTCTTTATTAGCAAATGTATATTTACTTTTCAATATGGTGACATTTTTATGTGCTATGGAAACCCATGTTCAGTCATGTTCATGATAGCGTTCATTGAATTTTTCTTGTAATGTTACTTTGTAACAAACAATATTATTTGCAAGTGATTTTTTAGCTAGTTGAAAGGAAGGTATATTCTATAGTAGTGGAACATGTAACAAACTTAATAAAAATATTTTTTCCAAATTATATATATGATTTTCAAGCCTAAAACAAGTACCTTTTTACTACTATTATGTTTCTGGCAATTTCTCCATATGTGTTTATATGTATATACATACATACATATATACACACACATAAAGAAGATATATTAAAATATTCTTTTTTATTATTATACTTTAAGTTCTGGGATACATGTGCAGAACGTGCAGGTAAGTTACATAGGTATACACGTGCCATGGTGGTTTGCTGCAGCCATCAACCCATCATCTACATTAGGTATTTCTCCTAATGCTATCCCTCCCCTAGCCCCTGACCTCCCAACAGGCCCTCTTGCAGAGTGGCGCTGTTGGGTCTTGTTGAGTTTAACTTTATAAGAATCTGCCAAACTGCTTTCCTGCTGCAATGTGTAAGTTCTAGGTGCTCCATGTTCTTTTTTTTTTTTTTTTTTTTTGTAATACACTTTAAGTTCTGGGATACATGTGCAGAACGTGCAGGTTTCATAGGTATACATGAGCCATGGTGGTTTGCTGAGCCCATGAACCAGTCATCTAGGTTTTAAGCCCCACATGTATTAGGTATTTATCCAAATGCTCTCCCTCCCCTTGCCCTCCACCCCTCAACAGGCCCCAGTGTGTAATGTTTCCCTCCCTGTGTCCATGTGTTCTCATTGTTCAACTCTCACTTATGAAAGGGAACATGTGGTGCTTGGTTTTCCGTTCCTGTGTTAGTTTGTTGAGAATGATGGTTTCCAGCTTCATCCATGTCCCTGCAAAGGACATGAACTCATCCTTTTTTATGGCTGCATAGTATTCCATGGTTATATGTGCTACATTTTCTTTATCCAATCTATCATTGATGGGCATTTGGGTTAGTTCCAAGTCTTTGCTATTGTGAATAGTGTGCATATGCGTGCATGTGTCTTCAGAGTAGAATGATTTATAATCCTTTGGGTATATACTCGGTAATGGGATTGCTGGGTCAAATTGTATTTCTAGTTCTAGATCCTTGCAGAATCGCCACACTGTCTTCCACAATAGTTGAACTAATTTACGCTCCCACCAACAGTGTAAAAGCATTCCTACTTCTCCACATCCTCTCCAGCATCTGTTGTTTCTGACTTTTTAATGATCACCATTCTAACTGGTGTGAGATGGTATCTCATTGTGGTTTTCATTTACATTTCTCTAATGACCAGTGATGATGAGCTTTTTTTCATGTTTGTTGGCCACATAAATGTCTTCTTAAAACAAGCAATGGGGAAAGGATTCCCTATTTAATAAATGATGTAGGAAAACTGGCTAGCCATATGCAGAAAACTGAAACTGGACACCTTCCTTACACCTTACACAAAAATTAACTTAAGATGGATTAAAGACTTAAACATAAGACCTAAAACCATAAAAACCCTGAAAGAAAACCTAGGCAATACCATTCAGGACATACACATGGGCAAAGGCTTTATGACTAAAACACCAAAAGCAATTGCAACAAAAACCACAATTGGCAAATGGGATCTAATTAAACTAAGGAGCTTCTACATAGCAAAAGAAACTATCGTCAGAGTAAACAGGCAGCCTACAGAATGGGAGAAAATTTTTGCAATCTACCCATCTGACAAAGAGCTAATATCCAGATTCTACAAGAAACTTAAATTTACAAGAAAAAAACAACCCCATGAAAAAGTGGGCAAAGTATATGAACAAAATAATATATATTCTTTTACTTGCTCATTATTTAATTTTAAAAAGCTATGCTTTCCATAAATGTGGGAAGGGTGGTTTTGGTTAATCTCCCAAATCCTAATTACTGGAAACATCAATAACATTTGATCAACATAATTGTAGACAACTCTCCTAGAGCAAAAAAAATGTATATATTAACTTAATATTCAAGATGTATTCTAGTCTTAATTAAATGATTATATTTAATTTTAATTGGATGTAACTTCCAAATTGCTGTAAAACCTGTAGAATTGCTACATTTCAGGCAATTTTTTCTTTATCAAAAATTGTATTATTTCTGAAAATATCCTTCTAACATTAAGATTAAAAAGACAAAAAATTGAAGTGTTTGGAGTTTTTAATCTTATTTTGAAAAATTTGACATTACAGTTAATATGCAAAAATAGCAAAATAAAATCCCCACATATCTTTGACATAAATTATTAGATTTATAGACATGTCTGGAGTTTTTGAAATTACACTTCAATTAGCAAACTTTCTATTTACTCTCTATTAGTAGAGACGATATAATGTACATTTATATGTCTCTCATTTTTCTTACTCCTTTCATAATTTATGTTAATAATAGTTCATAGGCACTTATGATCATCTGTCTGCTGTTGTTACACTGGACAAAAATGTACCTAGGCAAAAATATGGGGTACTTCCTTTCTGTCAAAAGAAGAACATCATTTGTAGATATTTTGTAGAAATCATTTAATGGATAGAATGCATTATCTTCTGGTGTAAACGCCTACTGCCTTCTGTCTGGGCACTAATCGTAACTGATGTTGAATACCTGAAACATATCTGATGTCTATTGTTCTCTCTCATTTCTTCTGGTAAACTGTTTGTATCATAAATCTCTGGAGTCCAGTCTCCTATTTCAGTTAAAGTTTCTTCCTGTTATAAAGTTGAATAGATTTTGTATTCTATGAGTTCTGCTTTTTTCAAAACCACCAATCATGTGTGGCCCAAATGTTCTTTATTTCCATACTTTAAATTTTTTGTAGTGCTTTTTAATTACTTGGTATTTTCCTTTTGTTATAAACCTAGCCACATGTTTCTGATATTATTTTCAGTCATTTTATTCTTTTTAGTTTTTATAGCACCTTGCTTATTTTAATTTACTTCCCCATGCTCTGTTATCAAGCTTTACATTTGCACCCTTATCATCTTATGATTTCATAAAACTATTCTCTCTCATTTCTGTGCTTCTTTAAAAAGGATGTAGTTACCTCTCATTTTTTAGGGATTATAAAAGATAATTTTCTACTATTTCCTGTATTTTGGCAGAGTGATTTTTCTTGAGGTCTATGAGTTACCTTTTGATTATATGTCTATTCCTTTTATGGTGGCAGTTTTGACGTACAATAACTTAATTTGTTTATTTCTGACAAAACTCATTTTTGAATGAGCACTGGTTGCACCAAAATATATTGTAAAGAGAGGCAGTTAGAAATAAGGAACAGAGTGACTTTATTTTCTAGAACATGCATCCTTCTATTTTCTTTGTACTCTTACTCAGTTCTTCCTGCTAAGGACACAACTCCTTTCTAGTTTTATCTTTGAGGGACCCATGGGGGCTCACAGTAATTCCTGTTCAGTTTTAACACCCTTTGTTTTGTGGTATGGCTGCTCTTTTTATCTTTCTACTCTACTTCACTCTCACAGTCTTCTTGACCTGGGAAACCAAATCCTAAATAAAAGAAATTACTTATCAGCTTTATTTTTCTCTTTACTTCTCTACCTCATTATTCTAAACTGTGTTTCTTTCTAGACATTCCACAGAAAACCTGTGTCCAATACTGAGCTAGATCTAAGCTTTCTAATCAAACTATAGTTGTGTTGCCTTTTGTGAAGGTGATGTTTACTTTGGGAAATATGTAGTTGGGTAAAGTTTAAACGCAACAAATGTCAACTCTCATCACGTTCCCATCTGAGTCCAGGCTTTACAGTTTTGGCAAGTATACGTGATGGTTTGTGGTTTGAGGTTATGGCTGTCTTGTTGTATCACTGATGAAATATTTTCCCCTACTGTTCTTTCTTTTTGATGTTTTCAATGAGTTATGAAGGAGGAAAGTGAAGTAAGTTTTTCTTTTTTCTCTCATTTTTAGTGTGTTTTTTCCTGTATGTTTTGCTTTGTCTACTGTCATGTACAAATAAACAATTACATTTTCATCATATACAAGCCCTTAATAAATATCCTGTGATTCCTACTTAATGAAATTTGCTTTGGTTTCTCTACTGACATGTTAATGTTAGATATCCTGTTTTTATGAGGCATTCATCTTTTTTAATGCCTTTTGTTTCACTTTGGTTTTGATTTGATCAATTCTAGATTTCTATCCAACAGCATTTTAAATACCTCCTCCTTGGTATCAGGAATTAAGCAGCCATTAACGTTCTCTCTTCTTTCCTTTCCCAATTCTCTATGAAAATTGTAGTTTAGTTAATTTAATTGAGTTTAGTTAATTTGGCATTTTAGAGCTAGAGTATAATTTGTACTTTAAAAAGTAGTAAATAAGTGAATAATTGTAAATGTATACTTATGTAAGTATATATAAAGTTTTTGACATTTGTATTGATGCTTGAAATATTTGCAATTATCTCTTGTCTAACTAGATTTAGTTCTGTCCTTCATTCATTTAATGTTAATATTTTTCCTTTGTTATGCTATTAATTTTACCATGATCTTTATTTTTTTGAATTACATATTTAAGTAATTTTATGCCTTTCTGTTGCTTTCCTTATGAAAGAAAATATGTCAAAGTATTTATGTCTTCAGTGACAATTTGCCGAAACAATGCTAAATAGTATTCCATTCTGTTCTCTTTATTCATGTGGCAGAGAGTCTGAGGCTGGCTTCCTTTTAGTCCCTTATAAGTAGCCAACCAGTTTGTATTTGTGTGTATGAATTGTTGTGTTTTGATGCTTAAAGAACATTCTCGTTGCCTTTGGATTTCAAACATGTTGAATGTATATTGTTTGTAGGCCAGTTTAGTTTTGCTATCATAGTTTTGCAGGGGTTACCTCTTCTACATTGTGATGGTATTTTCCCTCTGGTTCCTATAACTCAGCTTTTGATACTTGAAGTTGAGAGAGTACAGGGAAAGTATAATTTACAAACATAACATGCCATCAAACGTTGCCCTAATTCCATTTTGTTCTGTTTTACTCATGCAAACTGTGCTTCCCAGAAAACATGATACTGTTAACAGTTCACTTCTACTTCCCTTCACAATTTTTCTAGATTTGAACTGTATTTCCAGAAGGAATTCTCAGGGCCTAAACATTTGTATGAAAATAAACTACATGTATATTCTAACTAAACTCCAACAAAAATTTAGCATTTCCTTCAATTATAAATGTAAGTTTTAAATACAGAACAGTAGTAGCATAACTGTGACATTGTCATCAATAGAAAACAGATGTATTCCTTAACATTACAAATATTGCAGATATTTCAAAACAAAACTTACCGTGAACACAATATAGTAGGCAATAGACTTGCTGCCAATAATTTTATTTATTGTATTTTTAACAAAGTACATCATTACATATGACAAAATTTTCCTTAACATTTTAATAAAAACATTTAAATGCAATTGGTTTCCTCTGAAGTCCTCAATATGATATTTTATTTTAAAAATTTAAAAATTATTACCTTGAGACATATATAGGCTTCTTTAGATGGCCGTACCCCAAAAAGGTAAATAACTTCTGACATAGAGATAGTGAAGGTAAACAGTCAAAGACCCATGGAAGAAAAAGGAGGAGGAACTCTGCCTGCTTCAAAGTAATTGATTCAAGAAGCAGAGAGAGGGATGGTTATGAAGAGCTCAGCTATAGATTTTTTTCAGAAAAGCTGGGAATCAGCTTAGTAATTTTGTTTAGCTAGTATATGTAGCAGTATGTGATATTGGGTAGACCACGAGTGTTTTTTTCTTAGTCCCTCAATTGTCCATTACAATTCTTTGTTTTTATAAGTTACATTCTTCCCCCATGCCTCCAGTGAAATAGAAAAGAATATGGTGGTTCTCAGACCTCTGGAATCCTGACAGGAAGAGACCCACTGACAACCCTGGATACTTGAGTCGGCAGGGAGAGCTGCTTAGAAAAGTGGTAGCAGTAGCACTCCAGTCAGTGTGGAGCTCACAGGGTTTGATGGAAAATCGTGTGTAGTGGAGCACAGCCAGGGAAACCCATTCCCCTAGGCTTGACTGGTTCCCAGAGGGAACTTAGCCCTAGGGGAACTGTTGGACCTGAACTCTGCAGGGTGGTCTTGGCCATTAGACAGAGCTGGTCCAACCTGAGCATCCCCTTGTGATATAGTTTGAATCTGTGTCCTTGCCCAAGACTCATGTCAAATTGTAATCCCTATTGTTGGAGGAGGGGCCTGGTGTGAGGTGATTGGATAATGGAAGCAGATTTCCTCCTCACTATTCTCATGATAATGAGTGAGTTCTCATGAGATCTGGTTGTTTAAAAGTCTGTAGTACCTCCTTGAGCTCTCCTCCTTCTGCTCCAGTGATACAGAACATACCTGCTTTCCCTTCGACTTCTGCCTTGGTTTAAGTTTCCTAAGGCCTCCCCAGCATGCTTCCTACACAGGTTGTGGAACCACGACACAAGAAAACCTTTCTTCTTTATAAATTACCCAGTCTCAGGTAGTTCTTTATACCAATGTGAGAACACATTAATACACCTTGTTCTGCTATGTCCTGGGGCCCCAGCCTGACTGCACCTACTTGCAGTGTAGCCACGGGTGCCCCGGAGGCCTGACTCATACCTCCTGCACTGTTGGACCTGTCTGACAAGTAGAGCTCCAGCAGAGCAGCCCCAGCAAAGATGCACCAACCCACCTGCTCCCTGTCTACACTGCAGCTTCCCTCAGGCCCATGGCCAACCCTACCTCTCCTTGCTGGTACATGTGTGTGGGAGATGAATCTTGCCTTCCCTGACCCACCATTGCATATGTATGTATGTACCTTGCCCTGCCACTGCCGGCAGTGTGAGTGCATTCTACCCCCACTTTCTGTCATACTGTCATTGCACTCAGAGCCTTGCTGGGCACAAAGCCTACCAGCCCCACCCCCACCAGCACCCTACCTCTGTGCAAGGAACAAATCTGGGCTTGATACCAGTCCCACAGAGTTTGAGCATGCAGTAGAGGAGTTGGGAACTGAGCCTTGGCCCCATAAATCTTTCAGAAACAAAATCAGTTGATTGAATCTACCTTATAACACAATCAAACCCTCAAAGTGATCAAATAGGATAAAAGAAAAAAAGAAAAAAACATCAAAACAACAGCAACTTCAAAGACTGAAGGAGTATCAGTCAACAAAAATGAGAAAGGACCAGCGCAAGGACTCTGACAACTCAAAAAGCCAGAGTGCCTTATTTTTCCAAATAACCACACTAAGTCTACAGCAAGGGTTCTGAACTGGGCTGAGAAGCTGAAATGACAGAAATATAATTCAGAATATGGGTAGAAATGAAGATAATCAAGATGCAGGAGTACGTTGAAACCCGATCCAAGGAAGCTAAGAATGACAATAAATGAAACAGGAGCTGACAGACAAAATAGCCAGCCTAGAAAATAATGTAACCAACCTGATAGAGCTAAAAAACACACTACAAGAATTTTATAATGCAATCACAAATATTAACAGCAGAATAGAGCAAGCAGATGAAAGAATCTTAGAGCTTGAAGACTGGCTTTCTGAAATAAGACAGTCGGACAAGAACAGAAGAAAAAGAATGAAAAGGAATGAACAAAACTTCTAAGAAATAAGGGATTATGTAAAGAGACCAATTCTGTAACTCATTGGTGTCCCTGAAAGAGAAGAAAACAATGGGAGCAACTTGTAAAATTTATTTCAGGATATCATTCATGATAACCTCCCCAACCTAGCTAGAGAGGCCAACATTCACATTCAGGAAATGCAGAAAACCCCAGTCAGATACTTCACAAGAAGATCATCACCAGGATACATAATCATCAGATTCTCTAAGGTTGAAATGAAGGAAAAAATGTGAAAAGCAGCTAGAGAAAAAGGTCAGGTTACCTACAAAGAAAAGCACATCAGACTAATAGCGGGCCTCTCAGCAGAACCCCTACAAACCAGAAGAAATTGGGGGTCAATATACATCATTCTTAAAGAAAAGAAATTCTAGCCAATTTTATATCTGGCCAAACTAAGCTTTATTAGCGAAGCAGAAATAAGAATATTTTCAGACAAGCAAATGCTTAGGAAATTTGTTACCATAAGAAACCCATCTCACATGCAATGATACTCATAGGCCCAAAATACAGGGATGGAGAAAAACCTACCAAGCCAATAGAAAAATAAGCAGAGTTTGCATTCCTAATTTCACACAAAACAGACTTTATGCCAACAAAGAAAAAAAAAGACAAAGAAATGCATTATATAGTGGTAAGTGGTTCAATTCAACAAGAAGACCTAACTGATTCACAAAGCAAGTCCTTAGAAACCTGCAAAGAGACTTAGACTCCCACACAATAATAGTGGGGGACTTCAACCACCCAACTGACTGTATTAGACAGATCATTAAGACAGAAAATTAACAAAGATATTCAGGACATGAACTAAACATTGGATCAAATGGATCTGATAAACATCTACAGAATTCTTCACACAAAAACGACAGAATATACATTATTCTCATCAGCACATGGCACATACTCTAAAATCAACCACATAATTGGACAAAAAACAATCCTTAGCAAATGTGAAGGGACTAAAATCATACCAACCATTCTCTCAGCCATAGTGTAACAAAATTAAAAATCAAGACTAAGAAAATCACTCAAAACCATACAGTTACATGAAAATGAAATAACCTGCTTCTGAATGTTTTTGCGGTAAATAATGAAATTAATGCAGTAGTTAATTAGTTCTTTGAAATTATTGAGAACAAAGATACAACATACAAGAATATTGGGACACAGACAAAGCAGTATTAAGAGGGAAATTTATAGAACTAAATGTCCACATCAAAAAGTTAGGAAGATCTCAATTTCACCATTTAACATCTAAAAGAACTAGGGAACCAAGAGCAAACTAACCCCAAATCTAGCAGAAGATGAGAAATAACCAAAATCAGAGGTAAAATATAAAGAGATTGAGATATAAAAAAACATTCAAAAGATCAATTAATCCAGGAGTTATGCTTTTTAAAAAATTAATGAAATAGAGCACTAGCTAGGCCAATAAAGAAGAAAAGAAAAAAAAAGATGCAAATAAACACAATCAGAAATAACAAAGGGGATATTACCGCTGACCCCGCAGAAATACAAATAAACATCAGAGAATATTATGAACCTCTATGTGCACACAAAGTAGAAAATCTAGAAAAAAATGCATAAATTCCTGGACACAGACACCCTCCAAGTACTGAGCCAGAAAGAAATTGAACCCCTGAGCAGATCAATATCAAGCTCCAAAATTGAATGAGTAATAAATAGCCTACCTAGCAAAGAGAGCCCAGAACCAGATGATTCACAGCTGAATTCTACCAGATATAAAAAGAAGAGCTAGTACCATTCCTAGTGAAACTATTCCAAAAAATTGAGGAAGAGAGACTTATCTTTAACTCATTCCATGAGGCCAGCAGCATCATCCTGATACAAAAACCTGGCAGAGACACAACAATAACAAAACATTCAGGCCAATATCCTAATCCTCAACAAAATACTGTCAAACCAGCTGGGTGCTCACACCTATAATCCCAGCACTTTGGGAGGCCAAGGCTTGCAGATCACCTGAGGTCAGGAGTTTGAGATCAGCCTGGTCAACAGGGTGAAACCACATCTGTACTAAAAATACAAAAATCAGCCAAGTGTGGTGGTGCAAATCTGTAATCCCAGCTATTTGGGAGGCTGAAGCACGAGACTTGCTTGAACCCGGGAGGCAGACCTTGCAGTGAGCCGAGATCATGCCTCTGCACTCCAGCCTGGGGAATAGAATGAGACTCCATCTCAAAATAAAAAAAGTTGGCAAACTGAATCCAGGAGCACATCAAAAAGTTTATCAATCACAATTAAGTAGGCTTTAATCCTGGCATATAAGGTTAGTTCAACATACACAAATCAATAAATGTGACTCATCACTTAAAAAGAATTAAAGCTAAAAACTGGCCGGGCATGGTGGCTCGCGCCTGTAATTCCTGCACTTTGGGAGGCCAAGGGGGGATGGATCACGAAGTCAGGAGTTTGAGACCAGCCTGATGAAACCCTGTCTCTACTAAAAATGCAAAAATTAGCCAGGCATGGTGGCGCACACTTGTAATCCCAGCTACTCAGGAGGCTGAGGCAGGAGAATCGCTGGAACCCTGGAGGAGGAGGTTGCAGCAAGCAGAGATCAGACCATTGCACTCCAGCCTGGGTGACAGAGCAAGATTCCATCAAAAAAAAAAAAAAAAAAACCCACAAAAACATGACTTTCTCAACAGAATCAGACAAGGCTTTTTAAAAAAGTCAATGCCCCTTTATGTTAAAAACTCTCAATAAAGTAGGTATTGAAGGATAATACCTCAAAATAATAAGAGCCATCCACGACAAACCCACAGCTAATATTGTACTGAATGGGCAAAAGCTGGAGGCATTCCCCTTGAAAACCAGCAGAAGACAAGGATGGCCTCTGTCACCATTCCTATTCAATATAGTATTGAAAGTCCTAGCCAGGGCAATTAGACAAGAGAAAGAAATAAAGGGAATCCAAATAGGAAGAGAGAAAGTCAAGCTATCCCTGCTTTCAGATGACATGATTCTATAGCTAGAAAATTTCATAATCTTGGCCCAAAAGCTCCTTAAGTTTATAAACAACTTCGGCAAAGTCTCAGGATACAAAATCAATGTACAAAAATCACTAGCATTCTGATACACCAACAACAGTCAAGATGAGAGCCAAATCAGAAATGCAATCCTAATCACAATTACCACAAAAAGAATAAAATACCTAGGAATACAAGGAGGTAAAAGGTCTCCACAATAAGAACTACAAAACACTGCTCAAAGAAATCAGAGCAGATACAAACAAATGAAAAAACATTCCATGCTCATGGATAAAAAGAATCACTATAATTAAAATGACCATACTGCCCAGAGGAATTTATGGATTTAATGTCATTTCTATCAAACTACACATGACTTCTCTACAAAACTAGAAAAAAAAAACCCACTATTTTAAAATTCATATGGAGCCAAGAAAGAGCCTGAATAGCCAAGCCAATCCTAAGCAAAAGAACAAATCTGGAGGCATCACGCTACCTGACTTCAAACTATACTAACAGGGCTACAGTAATCAAAACAGCATGGTACCAGTACGGAAACAGACATATAGACCAATGAAACAGAATAGAGAGCCAAAAATAAGCCTGCACACCTACAACCACCTCATCTGTGACAAAACTGACAAAAACAAACAATGGGAAAAGATTCCCTCTTCAGTAAATGGTGCTGGGATAACTGGGCCCCTTCCTTACACCATATACAAAACAAAAACAAGAACAAAAAACACCTCAAAATGAATTAAAGACTTAAATTGGAAAACCCATAACTATAAAAACCCTGGAAGACAACCTACGCAATACCATTCTGGACATAGAAATAGGCAAAGATTTCATGATGAAGATGCCAAAAGCAGTGAAAAAAAAAAAAGCAAAAATTGACAAATGGGGTCTAATTAAACTAAAGATCTTCTGCACAGCAAAAGAAACTACGATAGTAGGAAATAACATTCTGGACATAGGAATGGGCAAAGATTTCAAGATGAAGATGCCAAAAGCAATTACAACAAAAAGAAAAATTGACAAATCGGACTTAATTAAACCAAAGAGCTTCTGCACAGGAAAAGAAACTATCTATCATCAGAGTAAACAGACAACCTACAGAATGAGAGAAAATATTTGCAAACTATGCATTTGACAAAGTCCTAATATTCAGCATCTATAAGGAACTTAAATTTACAAGAAAAAAAACCTCATTAAAAAGTGGGCAAATGACATGAACACTTCAAAAGAAGACATACACGCAGCCAACAAGCATATGAAAATAGTGCAACCACACTGATAGAGAAATGCAAATGAAAACCACAATGAAATGCCATCCCACACCATTCAGAATGGCTATTAATAAAAAGTCAAAAAATAACAGATGCTGGTGAAGACGAGGAGAAAAAGGAATGCTTATACACTATTAGTGGAAGTGTAAATTACTTCAACCCTTGTGGAAAGCAGTGTGGTAATTCCTCAAAGGACTAAAAGGAGAACTACCATTTGACCCAGCAATCCCATTACTGGGTATATGCCCAAAGGAATATAAATCATTTTATTATAAAGACACATACACACTGATGTTCATAGCAGCACTATTCACAAAAACAAAGACAGGGAATCAATCTAAATGTCCATTAATGCTAGACTGGATAAAGAAAATGTGGTACATATATGCCATGTAATACTATGCAGCCATAAAAAAGAATGAGATCATGTCCTTTGCAGGGACATGGATAGAGTTGGAGGCCATTATCCTTAGCAAACTAAAGCAAGAACAGAAAACCAAAAACTGCATATTTTTCACTTATAAGTGGGAGCTAAATTATGAGAACACATGGACACATAGAGGGAAAGAACAGACACTGGGGCCTACTTGAGGGTGGAGGGTGGGACAAGGGAGACGATCAAGAAAAATAACCAACTGGTACTAGGCTTAATACCTGGGTGATGAAATAATCTGTACCAAAAACCCCCATGACACGAGTTTACCTATGTAACAAACCTGCACATGTATACCTGAACTTAAAATAAAAGTTTTTTACAAAAGAAAATAATATGGTGGTTCCAGATTAGATAATGTTAGCATGACACACACCAGTGAATTATTAAAATCATTTTAAATCATTGCTGTTTTTGAAGCACAGAAACTTTTATAGTTAATCATTGTAACGATGGGATATTTTTGTGATGCATTCAGTTGTTTTTATACTTAGAAAAATACTGCTCTTACATCGAGAACAGATGCATATTTGCAACTCTCTTATTCTAGACCTTTTATTATTTTGTTTTACATTTTTGTTGGTCATTTTTATTTTACATTGAATAGTCAAGAAATTGAGTACTTATTTGAAGTGTGGTGTGAACTGATGATTTAGTCTATTTTTGATAAATGCCAAATTTTTGACACTTTGCCAGAGCCATAAATCATTTCTCCCTTAATGACTCATTGTATCATGTATGTTATTTGATATATTTCAAGATATAGAACAGTGTGGAGTATAGTAACTCTCAAATACATTTGAATTAGTGAATAATGTCTTCATTCAAAAAATAACTGTGTTTTGCTATTAAATCTACTCATGAGGATTCCCTGGCTTCTTGTGAGAATACCATCACAAAGACTATAGAAAGCAGTATGAAAATCTCACATTTGATACTGTGTCAGTTATATTCTCCAGGAAGGAGATACCAAGACAGATTTAAAAGTGCAAGAGCTTTCATTCGGGAAAATGATTGGGAAAGATAAAGAAAGAGAGATCAGGAATAGGCAGGGAAAGACTTCTGGCCATGATATAGGTCTGAAACCTGTGAAATGAGAGAGATAAGGAAGGAGGAGAGAGCAGGAAGGGCCTCAGACTACAGTGCCACTCTGGGAAAGTCGTAGCCAAATGTGGAGGTCTAGGGCAAAGGCTGTGCAGAAATAGGGCTCTCATCATGCTCTTTCATTCTCTGTGTTTCACGGTCTGTGTGGTTTTTAGGAAAAGCAAGGCTTCACCTTGAGAGCTCAAGTAGATAATGAAAGTACCTACAGCTAAATATTATCAACGTTACACCTGATGACAAGTTCAATCTTGAAGGGAGGTCTATGTGGCACAACTTTATGACTGCCACAGATACCACTGACAAGCCAAGGAAAAGCAAGGAGCAGAAGAGACCCTCTATAATATGTCTTGTTTTTTAGGCAATGAATAGAAAAATTATGAAACAAAGAAGATCAATAATCATCACTATTGGACACCATTTTGATGTTATATATTAAGTCCTATTATTACATTTAAAAAACTTGATCCAAGTTTCCACCTAGTTTACACCACTTTAGCTGCCATGTGAGAAACCAACTAATAGGCACAGAATGGAGGAAGTTGCAATTTTATGTTTAGAGTACACCAACAAATGTCAGCCAATTTTTGTTTTAAAGTAATAGCAATTTAAAACAAAAATGTCATATGGATGGTAATATTTCAATTTTAAAAAATTTATTAAGATGTTTTATGGCCAAGTTGTGGTTGATCTTGGAGTATGTTCCATGTGTAGATGAGAAGGAGGTATATACTGTGGTTGATGGGTGGACTATTCTGTAGACATCTATCAGATCTAATTGGTAAAGTGTTGAACTTAAGTTCGGAAATTCTTTGTTAGTTTTCTACCTCAATTATCTGTCTAATGCTGTCAGTGGGGTGTTACCAAGAAGATTTCTCAAAACTACACAGTTACAGGGAAATTAAACAACTTGCTTCTAAGTATCTTTTCTGTAAACAATGAAATTAAGGCATAAATAAAAAGCTTTTTTGAAATAAATGAAAACAGACACAACATAGCAGCATAGCAGAATCTCTGGGATGCAGCAAAGGCAGTGTTAAGGGGAAAGTTTATAGCACTAAACGCCTTCATCAAAAAGTTAGAAAGATCTCAAATTAATGATCTAACATCACACCTAGAGGAACTAGAAAAAGAAGTGTGAACTACTTCCAAAGCTAGCAGAAGACAAGAAATAAATAAAATCTCTATGGACCTTAAAATCCACACAGAAAATCAATGAAACAAAAAATTGTTTATTTAAAAGGATAAACAAGATTGATACATTGCTAGCTAGATTAACAAGGAAAAAGATAAGGACCCACATAAGCACAATTACTAATGGCAAAAAATAACATTATGACTGATCCCACAGAAATATCAAAGATCTTCAGAGAATATTATGAACATCTCTATGAACAGAAAATCTAGAGGAAATTGACAAATTTTCCTGGTAACACACAACCTCCCAAGATTCAATTAGGAAGAAACTGAAACTCTAAACAGACCAATATCAAGTTCTGAAATTGAGTCAGTAATAAAAAACCTGCCAAACAAAGCCCAGGACCAGATGGAGCCACAGTCAAATTCTATCAGATGTAAAACAAAGAGCTCGTACCAATTCTAGTGAAACTATTCTAAAAAATTGAGGAGAGAAACTTCTGTAACTCATTCTACAAAGCTAGCATCATCCTGATATCGAAACCTGACAGACACACGCACAGACACATAAAATAAAACTATGGGCCAATATCCAGGATGAACATAGATACAAAATCCTTAACAAAATGCTAGCAAACCAAATCCCACAGCACATCAAATATTAATTCACTATAATCAAGTAGGCTTCATTCCTGTGATGCAAGATTGGTTCAACATATACCAATCAATAAATATGATTCACCACACAACCAGAAATAAAAACAGAAACATGATCATCTCAACAGATGCAGAAAAAGGTTTCAATAAATTTCAACATCCCTTCATGTTAAAAACTCTCTCAATACTAAGTATTTAAGTAACATACCTCAAAATAAGAGCCATCTAAGACAAACTCAGAGCCAATATTATACTGAATGGGCAAAAGCTGGAAGCATTTCCCTTGAGAACTGGAATGAGATGAGGATGCCCACTCTCACCACTCCTATTCCACAGAGTACTGGAAGTTCTAGCCAGAGCACTAAGGTAAGAGAAAGAAATAAAAAGCATCAAAATAGGAAGAGAGGAAGTCAAACCATCTCTCTTCACTGACAATGTGATTCTATATCTTGATAACCCTAAAGATTCTGCCAAAAGGCTCCTGGAATTGGTAAGCAATTACAGTAAAGTTTCAGGTTACAAAATCAGTGTGCAAAAATCAGTAGCATGTCTGCACGCCAATAACGTTCAAGCTGACAGCCAAATAAAAAATGCAGTTCCACTTACAGTAGCCACAAAATAAAATAAAATACCTAGAAATACGTCTAACCAAGAAGGTGAAAAGGCTTTACAAGTAGAACTACAAAACATTGCTGAAAGAAATCATAAAAGACACCAACAAATAGAAAAACCTTCCATGCTCCTGGATTGGAACAATCAATATCATTAAAATGGCCACACTGCCCAAAGCAGTTTTCAGATTCAATGTTATTCCTATCAAACTACCAGTGTCATTTTTCACAGAATTAGAAAAAAATATTCTAAAATTCATATGGATCCTGAATAGCCAAAGCAGTCCTGAGCAAAAAGAACAAAGCCAGAGGCATTGCATTATCTGACTTGAAACTATACTATAAGGTTACAGTAAATAAAACAACATGGTACTGGTACAAAGACAGACATATAGAGTAATGTGTAGGACAGGTAGGAGAACCCAGATATACAACTGCACACCTACAGCCATCTGATGTCGATAAAGTCAAATAAAAATTAAGCAGTGGGGAAAAGTCTTCCCTTTTTTATAAATTGTTGTGGGATAGCTGGCTGGCCACACACAGAAGAATGAAACTGAATCCCCACCTTTCACCATATACAAAAATTAACTCAACATGCATTAAACATTTAAATGTAAGATGTCAAATTATAAGAATCCTGGAAGAAAATCTAGGAAAAACCATTCTTGACATTGGTCTTAGGACAGAATTTATGACTAAGTCCTCAGAAGCAATTGCAACAAAACAGAAGTTGACAAATGGGGCTTAATTAAACTAAAGAACTTCTGAATAGCAAAATAAACTATCAACAGAGAAAACAGATGATGTAGAGAACGGGAGAAAATATTTGCAAACTATGCATCTGACAAAGGTCTAATATCCAGAATCTATTACAAACTTAAACAAATCAACAAGCAAAAACAAAAAACCCTATTTAAAAAATGAGCAAAGGATCTAAACGGATGCTTCTCAAAAGAGGACATAAAAGTGGCCAATAAACATATGAAAAAAATGCTTATTGTCACTAATGATCAGAGAATTTGCAAATCAAAACCATGATGAGATACAATCTCACACTATTCAGAATGGCTGTTTTTAAAAAGGCAAGTAACAGATGTTGTTGAAGTTGCAGAGAAAAGGGAATGCTTATACACTGCTGTTGGGAGTGTAAATTAGTTCAGCCACTGTGGAAAGCAGTTTCAAGATTTCTCAAAGAACTTAAAACAGAACTACCATTTTACCTAGCAACCCCATTACTGGGTATATATCCAAAAGAAAATAAATCATTCAACCAAAAAGACCCACGTACTCACATGTTCATCACAGGGCTATCATAGTAGCAAAAACATAGAATCAACCTAGGTGCTTATCAATGGTGGATTTGATAAAGAAAATGTGGTACGTATACAACATGGAATAATATGTAGCTGTAAAAAAAAAAAAGAAAAGAAAACATGTCCTTTGCTCAACATGGATGCAGCTGGAGGCCATCATTCTAAGCAAATTAACACAGGAACAGAAAACCAAATACAGCATGTTCTCAATTCTAAGTAGGAGTTAAACATTGGATACTCATGGACATAAACATGGCATCAATAGACAGTAGGGCCTATTAGAGCAGGGAGGAAAGTAGAGCGGACAGGTCAAAAAACTATCGGGTACTATGTGCAGTACCTGGGTGATGAGATCAGTCATACCCCAAATCTCAGCATCATGAAATATACCCACGTAACAAACCTACACACAGACCCACTGAATCTAAAATAAAAGTTGAAGTTAATCCAGTCTATCATTGATGGACGTTTGAGTTGGTTCCAAGTCTTTGCTATTGTGAATAGTGCCGCAATAAACATACATGTGCATGTGTCTTTATAGAAGCATGATTTATAATCCTTTGAGTATATACCCAGTAATGGGATGGCTGGGTCAAATGGTACTTCTAGTTCTAGATCCCTGAGGAATCGCCACACTGACTTCCACAATGGTTGAACTAGTTTAAAGTCCCACCAACAGTGCAAAAGTGTTCCTATTTCTCCACATCCTCTCCAGCACCTGCTGTTTCCTGACTTTTTAATGATCACCATTCTAACTGATGTGAGATGGTATCCCATTGTGGTTTTGATTTGCATTTCTCTGATGGCCAGTGATGATGAGCATTTTTTCATGTGTCTGCTGGCTGCATAAATGTCTTCTTTTGAGAAGTGTCTGTTCATATCCTTCACCCACTTGTTGATGGGGTTGTTTTTTTCTTGTAAATTTGTTTGAGTTCTTTGTAGATTCTGGATATTAGCCCTTTGTCAGATGAGTAGATTGCAAAAATTTTCTCCCGTTCTGTAGGTTACCTTTTCACTTTGATGGTAGTTTCTTTTGCTGTGCAGAAGCTCTTTAGTTTAATTAGATCCCATTTGTCAATTTTGGCTTTTGTTGCCATTGCTTTTGGTGTTTTAGACATGAAGTCCTTGCCCATGCCTATGTCCTGAATGGTATTGCCTAGGTTTTCTTCTAGGGTTTTTATGGTTTCAGGTCTAACATTTAAGTCTTTAATCCATCTTGAATTAATTTTTGTATAAGGTGTAAGGAAGGGATCCAGTTTTGGCTTTCTACATATGGCTAGCCAGTTTTCCCAGCACCATAGATTAAATAGGGAATCCTTCCCCATTTCTTGTTTTTGTCAGGTTTATCAAACAGCATATGGTTGTAGATGTGTGGTATTATTT
This sequence comes from Homo sapiens, assembly GCF_000001405.40. Classification (NCBI taxonomy): domain Eukaryota; kingdom Metazoa; phylum Chordata; class Mammalia; order Primates; family Hominidae; genus Homo; species Homo sapiens. The sequence goes on along the minus strand of NC_000002.12, from coordinate 188,681,402 downwards.
CTGAGGGCTCTGTTCTGTTCCATTGGTCTATATCTCTGTTTTGGTACTAGCACCATGCTGTTTTGGTTACTATAGCCTTGTAGTATAGTTTGAAGTCAGGTAGCGTGATGCCTCCAGCTTTGTTCTTTTGGCTTAGGATTGACTTGGCAATGTGGGCTCTTTTTTGGTTCCATATGAACTTTAAAGTAGTTTTTTCCAATTCTGTGAAGAAAGACATTGGTAGCTTGACAGGGATGGCACTGAATCTATAAATTACCTTGGGCAGTATGGCCATTTTCATGATATTGATTCTTCCTATCCAAGAGCATGGAATGTTCTTCCATTTGTTTGTGTCCTCTTTTATTTCATTGAGCAGTGGTTTGTAGTTCTCCTTGAAGAGGTCCTTCACATCCCTTGTAATTTGGATTCCTAGGTATTTTATTCTCTTTGAAGCTGATTAAGAAAATGTGGCACATATACACCATAGAATACTATGCAGCCATAAAAAAGGATGAGTTCATGTCCTTTGTAGGGACATGGATGAAGCTGGAAACCATCATTCTCAGCAAACCATCCCAAGGACAAAAAACCAAACACCACATGTTCTCACTCATAGGTGGGAATTGAACAATGAGAACACCTGGACATAGGAAGGGGAACATCACACAGTGGGGCCTGCCGTGGGGTGGGGGGAGGGGGAGGGAGAGCATTAGGAGATATACCTAATGTAAATGATGAGTTAATGGGTGCAGCACACCAACATGGCACATGTATACATATGTAACAAACCTGCACGTTGTGCACATGTACCCTAGAACTTAAAGTATTAAAAAAAACAAATTTAAATTTGGAGATGTTTTAGGCTATAGTCACTTGACATTTAAGACACTTGTTAAATCATACAGCTTATCCTCTTATTTTTCTGTTTTAAAATTCACTGACTTTAATTAAATGGATGGTTATCCACATAGAAAAAAGAACATAGCAGCTGGCCCCTGCCTGATGGTAAAATCTTCTCCTGGCCTGTACAACTAAGGCACACCATTTTACTTGGACTTTGGGAAAATCTAGTTTCCAATGTGAGTGGATTTTGTGACAAAATTACAAAGGCAAGACCTGTGTTACTTTAGTGTCACTATATAAATGCTCCTGGTTTTTAAACAGTCCTACTTAGTGCTCAGCATAAAGACAAGAAATAAGCTGTCTTCACTTAAAGCCATAATCCATGAGAGAAGTGGTCAATACCTTTTAAAAGCATGTGGTGGTACTAGGATCTCTAGAATGTGGCTCCAGAAAGAAAGATCTTAAATTACCCTAAGTGAATAATATATGGGGAATTTGTGAGGCTCCATGCTCAAATGCTGAGTTCTTAGATTTTGGAAGTTAGGATCATCACTGTTTATGGAAAACTTCTTAAAATGAAGGTTGTCCTCTTTTCCTGAAAGTTGAGTTATGATTGTGAATAAGGGAATCCACTGACTGACTGTTAAAAAAAAAAGTTGAAGTTATAAGAACAAATAAAATAAAAACATGGAAAATGAATTATTAAAAATTGATGTAGGGCCCAATTTAGTATTATTTCGAGGTCCACCTCTAAATAAGCACACACACACACACACACACACACACACACACACACACACAGTGTCGTTAGGAAAGAGAACATAGCTCCAACAGTATATTTATTGTACATATGTCTATTGTGCATTTGCCTGTGGAAGGTGAGTTTTCACACAAATTTTGATCACATTTTTGTAGGCACAGAAATAATTTATCTTTTAAATATTCTACTTTCTTCTCATGATGCTTATGTCACGTTTTTATTATATAAAGAGCACTGTAATTAAATGAGTTTTCCGATCAAACAAAAGCTTTCTCATAGAGGCATTTTGTTTGTTAATATCATTACATGGTTTTTCTGTAGCTTTTTGTGCTACTACATTTTATACATATAAATATTTCATTTTTATATTATTATATTTCACATTTATTTCTAAAATAATTCTCCTCCTAATACTTCATAAATTAGAAACAAAATTCTCAAACTATAGACATCTCCTTCAGAGAAAAATTCCAGAATATTCTCAGTAGTGAATACCTTTCACCTTAGGCAACAGTCAAATCTTACAAACTCTACTCTTCAAATGATACAGGTCGCCCCCTCCTTTCAAAGAACTCTTGCAAGAACTCCCCACTGAAAGGGATTTATAATAATCAACAAGGTCCAAGAATTATCTCTCATTTGTTATGTTCTGTATCTTATCTTCCTTCAATTACTATGAGTAATATAGTGTTGCATACTGCTTAAGAGCCTGGCCTCTAGAGTTGGGCAAGAATAAGAGAATGTGTCATAACACTTCCAAATTGTGATGTAGTCAAATTATTCGACCTTCCTAGTGTCTTATTTTTCTAACAATACTTAAATGGAGACATGTGAATGTAAGTTGTTTAAGTCTGACAGTCATCTTAGTATCAGCCTGAAGATGAAGCCAAAACACACCAAAAGAAAATTAAACAAACAAATAAAAAAAAAGCAGACCTTGGAGGATCAGAAAAAAATTGAGCTGGATAGACTGAATTAAGCCAGCTCTAAAGCACACTGTACCCTTCATCTTCCAAGTACAGATGCTCTTCTACTTACGATGAGGTTACTTCTGATAAACAGTACTTAAATCATGAGTTGCCTGTGATGAATATATAACATCATAAATATAAAATCCTATGATACCATTTGGAACATATTACCATATCTACTCAATTAATATTCACTTTTATTAACTTCTACATTGCAGGTAATTTAGAACATCATAGCTTAACCTAGCCCACTTTAAATGTTTAAATGTTCTCAGAACACTTGTAGTAGCCTAGAGCTGGGCAAAACCATCTAACTCAAAGCCTATTTTATAACAAAGTGTTGAATATCTCAAATAATTTATTGAATACTGTACTGAAAGTGAAAAACAGTATAGTTGTATGATAATTAAATTGAAACTTTGTAAGTCAGGGACCATCCGTATAGAATCAATTAATTGTTAGATTGTAATAAGCTACTTTTAGCTTGGGTTTTCTGTTACTTGCCGCCAAATGAAAACTACCATAGATTTTCTTTGGAAGCATAAATGTACAGAAGGTGTAAATGTGTGTGTACATTGTTATGAAACTTTTAGTTGCAGCAATCATGAAATAGATAACAGGTTTTAATGACAAAAGGATTATCTTACATCACATAACTGAGAGAGTCTACAGCTAAGGCAATGATCTTCTGTCATTCACTAAGGACTCTGGCTCTATGTCACTTATTCTCTTCACTCTCTCCTCCTTCATGTTCTACCTTCTCCTTCAGACCAAATAAAACCCCCTTCAACAATATGCTCCCTTTCAAACAAAATGGATACCAACCTAGGTGAGCGTTGAATATCTGAAAGAAAATTGTTTTTCAATTGTAAAGGGATAAATAGATAGGCAATCAACAATGTCACTAGAGTGTTTGCTTAATTATGTTTTTAGCCATGCTTTCCACTAAACATTAGAAGAATTTTGAATTATGCATTTAACACAGTCCAACTAATGGGTATCTTTGCCATGAAAAAGTACACATAATTCCTAGGGTTCACTTTTGAAACATTTAACAGAACTTGCCTATCACTACCTTTTCACTAATACCATACTACATTCTCTCAGGTGGTAATGACAAAAGTAATTTTAACACTTCTTCCTCTGTTCTAATCACTCTTCTGAGCAACACGTATTAACTCATTTAATTCTCACAATCACCCATGACTTAAGTGATATTATTATCTTCATTTCACAGAGTAGTTAACTAGAGCACAGAGAGCTTAAGTGACTTGCCCAATCTCACTCTTACTAAATGGTTGAGCCGGGGTTTGAAGCCAGATGGGTCTGACTTCAGGGACAATAATCTTTGCCATTGTGTATTCTGCATCTTTGTGTTGCTAGATTATAAAATTCAAATCAAGTGTGTTCTTCCCTTCTTTCTTTAATACTCACTAATCATATATTATTCTGACTCTTCCCATAAAACCTTATGACTAAGGGCCAATGCATTCCTGATAGGTCCACTACATCTATTTTATGTTTGAACACATGAAAAAAGTGAATAGAGAAAATATTTCATTATATATTGAATTATGACTGAGTTTTCTTTTTTAATTCTTGGGTTTGAACTTCAATGGTGTATGATTCAGGCAAAAAAATGTACTGGGAGAATTCTATTAAGAAAGAATGGCATATTATTAGCTTTAGCAATGCACATCTGTGTATAACACCTGCTTGCATTTATTTATTTTCTTCTCTCTTTGTGGGCTAATAAAGCAAATAATCAAGATAATTTTGAATGTTTTATGTTTTTCTAACTAAAAAAGTCATGAACCATTTAAGTGGAAATTGAAAAAATAAATGAAAATAAAAATGTGCCTTTGGTTTAGCTGCTCTATTTTTTATTTAGTAAATGGAATCCTTGCAAGTTAGATAGGTGGAAAGAGTTTAAGACTAATTTGGACGATTGTCAAATCCTCTATAAATGACAATTTCTATGATGAAAAATATTAATTTAATGACCATTCACGGCACAAACCTCATAACATTACAATGCTAGTTAAGGTTTGGTTACTTGATGATTATAAGCAATGGTAGCAAATACCTGAAACATAAAATATGACAAATACCACATCAAGTTCAAGGTAAAAATGAATTCAGGAAAAGTGAACGCCAATTCCTAAAATGTCAACAAGACATTAATCTACCAAAATCTTGGAATCAAATTTCTAGAACATTTTGACGAGAATCATTATAATTAAAATGGCATGACAGAATGGCTTCGCCATCAAACAGATTGGCCGCTCATCCTAAAGTGGTTTTAATTATGATTTGACTCCTCTGAACAGTGCACATTTAGGGAGATATTTATCACCAGATGTACAATTAGGTGCCCAATTTATGCATTTTTAATTTATTCAATGAAATATATTAAATGCCTGCTATGATCTAGGGATATGGGTATACAGTACTAAAGAAACAGACAAAAGTATCGTAACATTATAGAAGAGCAGAATTGTTTGAAAAAATAGAAACATAACTTCCCAGGAGGGTGGAGCCAGTGAATGCTGGAACAGACCACTGTTAGAGAAAGTAATCTGATATATAACAGTAAAACATGGGATAATCTCCTTTGAAAATGGATTTTGAGAAGCACATGAGTCTGAGTCAGAGCTACAGAAGTAACCCATGTGAGACAAAACCATGGTCACACACCAAGATATTTTTACATATCTGCACATTCATTTTTCACTAAGAAATTGCATCCTTAACATTTTTTACTTCCCCTTTCCACAATTTCACCCCCCACTGATAATTGTTTACTCACAAGGCCATTGCTGAAAGTACAGTAACATAATGTTTAAGTACTAAGCATTAAGAGAGAGAAATAAATACATAAATGATTCTTAGTCAACAAGAGTTAAAAAGCCATCATTTATTTACCACTATACATCTAAATTACTGGGCTCAGTTGCTGGTAGAATTATCTATCCCAACAATGAGAGTGACTCAGATTTTTCATCTGGCCCCATAAATTATTATGTTGCTCTGGGAGAATGACTAAGGGTCTTTGCCTAGTCATTTAATTGTATAGTATAAGTAAAGGAGAGAGGGAGCTTTAATATTCTCATCCAAATATTGTTGGGTTGAGTTTTCCAAGCTAAAATACAGAGAACTTCATGCTTCATACTTACTTATTTCTTAAGAAGGTTCTTTTTCTTTTTTCCATTCTTTTGTTAATTAGAGTTTGGGGGAATCCACAAAAATTTGGAGAATGTCTTATCTGAAGATGCCAGGAAGGAAAAAAAAATCATGAAAGTAGTCTCTTTCCAGAGCAAGTTTCTCCTGTTTTAACAGTTGAGAAAGTCAAATGCATTGTCTGCATCCTTCACCTTGTATTTCTATTGAATCTTTCTTATCAATATGCTCTATGCATCTGCACAGATTTTACCTTCAAATTTAGCAGACTGGTGTGAATCAGAGACAAACTAAAAAACAACAAGCTAAAATACAAACTAAAAAATAAAAAAAACTAAGTACCCACTTCAGAATTAATTATAATATTTAAGCTTGATTAAAAATAAAATAACAGAATAAACACTGTTGAAGACTAAATTAATCATATGGAAGATAAATTCAGAGCAATATCCTAGGACATACAGCCAAAACACTCAGAAAGTTAAAACCAAGAATTCCACAGACAGAATATATTAGGAGTGGAAATTATCCCAGTCACACCGCACCAAAACGTTACCGGCGGCGAATCTATATGGGTCTACAGTACCTCAATTCTTACCTCCTCAGAAGAAAGAATTTGACTGAAGTGCATAAGGCAGAAATTAAAGCAAATTTTAGAGCAGGAGTGAAAGTTTATTAAAAAGCTTTAGAGCAGAAATAAAAGGAAGGAAATTATAGTTGGAAGAGGGACAGGTGGGCTACTTGAGAAAGCCAAGTGTGCATTTGACCTTTTGACTTGGGGTTTCATACGTTGGCATACTTCCAAGGTCTGCCTCTTTTCTCCCCTGATTCTTTGCTTGTAGTGGGCTATCTGCATGTGCAGTGGCCTGATAGCACTTGGGAGGAGAGTGCAAGGTGCGTTTACTGGAGTTGCAGGCATGTTCACTTGAGGTATTCTTCCCTTACCAGCCAAATGTCCCTAGGAGGTCATATACCAGTTAAACTTCACCGTTTTGCCTCTTAGTGTGCATGCTCGAGCTCACTCATGCAACTCCTGAGATCTTACAGGCAAGCTGTTGATCACCAATTTTTTTAGGTATTTTCTATCTACGGGGAGACTGCCTTTCCCTCGTGCTGGCTGCAACCAACTATTATTTTAGAGAGACAGTTAACAACCGCCTGAACATCACCTGATGGTCGCCTGACATTCCTGCTTGCAGGTTCACCATCTCCTGCCCTGCTCATGTCTGTCTGAAAAATAGAGTCAATGAAGGAGAAAGGCAAAAGTAATCTTTTATTACTTTCATGAGTATTTCTTCTCCCCCCTGGCAGAGCATCTGCCCTTTAAACACAAGAGCTTCAGGTGATTTGCTTTAGCCAATTAATTGTTTGTGGAAGCGATGTGTGCCACTCCTGAACAGAAGCTTCAAGTTCATTTTTCTTTTGTCCCTGTGTCATGAGGCTTGCTATGTTCCAGAGAGAGGCTATTTTTTCACCCTAATTCCTGGAGTGAAAACTACAGGCTATTACTGTTTTACAAAATATTTTGCTACTGTATAATGTTCTAGGATCTAATAACAGATTTATCATTATTCTTGCATGGACTTACTCCTAATGGACATATGCAGTGTGAGAAAATAAACATCTTTACACCACAATCTTTAGAGAGATTATATAATTTTATGTGTCCTGACTGATAGACAAGATGAGTACTACTATATCAGAAAACCTTAAGCAGGCAGCACTAGCCTCATGTCCATGTACTAGATGGTGAAAAACTGCTACTAGAAGTTAGAAGGACAGTGACGGGATGCTGTGGCCAAACATTTTTAAAAACTGCATCAGCTATAATTTTGGAAGCAGATAAATTATTGACTCAGTTTGTGTCTCTGGCATATAGGGAAATTGAGTGTTGTATACCTGCTGTGGTACCGTTGGCTACATTTAAAAAGTTTCACAAGACATGAGATGAACTCATGTGAATTGGCTAGATTGCATGCAAAGTTAAGAATCTTTGCTTCATGCAGGGTTGGGATATTAAATAATTAAATGTTTAAAAATTCTAAAATATGTAAATGTACATATGTACATACACACAAACACACATATTCTAATTTAACTGAAACCAGAAGAAAATGATTGACAGCTTTGACCACGTATATATTTCTTATTGGTAATATACTTCATAAACTAAGTGAAAAAAAATTGCAGACTGGCAGGAATATGTCCACCATGTGAAAAAGACAAAAATTTTATTTATTTATTCATATATAAATCAATTTTTCTCACAAATGGAGACCAAAAAATATAATTAAACATAGGAATGCGCTCAGAAAAGAACAGGCAATTCACCAAAGGAAAAAAAAATCACAAAAATCAATAAAGGTATAAAAATGTGTTCAATGTGAACATTTAATAACAAGATAAATACATTGAAATCACATATAAAATAACTTTACAATGTCTGGCAGTCTCAAACTGTAGGGAAAAAATATTCACATTCACTTTTGAAGAAAGTAAAAATTTGTGTCATCTTTTAGAAGGGTATTTGACAATATCTACCATTTTAAATTGTATATACTCTTTTGATAGATAGTATTTCTGGGTATAAATTGTAAGGAAATTCTTGTAAATGTAAATGTATTACATAGAAATTAAGGGCATTGATATTTGTAAAAGGAAAAGATAGTAACCATCAAGATGGAATGTTAAAGTCTAATACATGTAAAAAAATGACACAGTAAAGCACTTAAAAATGGCATAACTCTAGTAGAGTTGCTTAAGGAGACATACTGTCTGTTTCTCCATATCAACAAATCCAATATGTATCTCTATAAATAACTGGAAGGATGGGTAGTTGAAGATAATATGGGAGAGGGAGGTGACTTTATGCTCAGAAAAGACTATTTAAGGAACAACTAAATACAAATATATATATATGTATATATATATATACACACACACACATATGTTTAAAAGTAGCCTTTCATAAATGTGAGACATCTAAACATAATAAAAAAGTACTGAAAATGTGGTACATATTCACCTTGGAATACTATGCAGCCATAAGAAAGAATGAGATTATGTTCTTTGCAGGGACATGGATGGAGCTGGAGGCTATTATCCTTAGCAAACTAACTCAGGAAAATACAGCATGTTCTCACTTATAAGTGGGAGCTAAATGATGAGAACACATGGACACATAGAGGGGAACAACACACAATGGGCCTATTGGAGGGTGGAAGGTAGGAGGAGGGAGAGGATCAGGAAAAATAACCAATGGCTACTAAGCTTAATACCTGGGTGGTGAAATAATCTGTACAACAAACTCCCATAACACAAGTTTCCTATGCAACAAACCTGCACATCCTGTACATGCACCTTGAACTTAAAAAATTTTTTAAACTTATAATTTTTTAACATGTAAATGATAATTTTTCAATTCCCATAATGCATATTTCTTCATTATTCAGTGAACATTTATTAAACACCTGCGATGTGCCAGGGATTTTGTAAGAAGTGGTGGATAAAGTGGGCATGATTTCTGCCCTCATAAAGTTATATTGAGAAAGACAGATGATAAACAGTTGTACAAACAAATGTTAAATTGCAAGTTTGATAAGTGCTGTGATAGAAAATAATAATATGTTTTGAGAGAATAACAAGATGGGTGAAAAGTTTTCTTTGGAAGTATTGTTTGGCAAGACTACTTTAAGAAACTGACATTTGAGCTGTGATTTAAGCAATAAGAAGCCAGATATAATGGTATGGAAATTACTCCATAAAAAGTAAATTTCATATGTAAAGATCATAAAGAAGTTAAGAGCTCAGCATTTTTAAGAAATTGAAGGAAAGTTAGTATGGCTGAGACTGTTAAAAATGGTTGTTCTTACATGAAATAGAAACTCATGGGGAAGATAAACTATGACTTACAAGCCATGGAAAATGAATTTAATCCTATTCTGAGTTCAATAAGAGAAGACGTTTAACTTTTCTGTGCCTCAGTTTCTTCATTTATAAAGTGATGATAACTGTACATCATAAGGCATTCATGAAGATTAAATTAGTTGAAATAAATGATATTAGAATAGTACCCAGCACAAAGGAAGTACTCTATCATTATTATATTGTTATTTATAATAATAAAATATTGAAAGCTCTGAAAATATATGCCCATATTGATCTTTATTCAGGAAAAAATCAGAGTAGATAGGGACCACATAGTAGATATTTGGCCTTTGTGAAACATGTTCTCTATCATAACTATGGAATTCTGCCATTGGAGCATGAAAATAGTAAGAAACAATAAATAAATAAATAAATGTGTTTATTTTCTTTATATATATATTTTTATTATACTTTAAGTTCTAGGGTACATGTGCACAACGTGCAGGTTTGTTACATATGTATACATGTGCCATGTTGGTGTGCTGCACCCATTAACTTGTCATTTACATTAGGTATATCTCCTAATGCTATCCCTCCCCACTCCCCCCACCCCACAACAGGCCCTGGTGTGTGATGTTCCCTGCCCTGTGTCCAGGTGTTCTCATTGTTCCATTCCCACCTATGATTGAGAACATGAGGTGTTTGGTTTTTTGTCCTTGCGATAGTTTGCTGAGAATGATGGTTTCCAGCTTCATCCATGTCTCTACAAAGGGCATGAACTCATCATTTTTTATGGCTGAATAGTATTCCATGGTATATATGTGCCACATTTTCTTAATCTGGTCTATCATTGTTGGACATTTGGGTTGGTTCCAAGTCTTTGCTATTGTGAATAGTGCCGCAATAAACATACGTGTGCATGTGTCTTTATAGCAGCATGATTTATAATCCTTTGGGTATATACCCAGTAATGGGATTGCTGGGTCAAATGGTATTTCTAGTTCTAGATCCTTGAGGAATCGCCACACTGTCTTCCACAATGGTTGAACTAGTTTACAGTCCCACCAACAGTGTAAAAGTGTTCCTATTTCTCCACATTCTCTCCAGCACCTGTTGTTTCCTGACTTTTTAATGATTGCCATTCTAACTGATGTGAGATGGTATCTCATTGTGGTTTTGATTTGCATTTCTCTGATGGGCAGTGATGATGAGCATTTTTTCATGTGTCTGTTGGCTGCATAAATGTCTTCTTTTGAGAAGTGTCTGTTCATATCCTTCACCCACTTGTTGATGGGGTTGTTTTTTTCTTGTAAATTTGTTTGAGTTCTTTGTAGATTCTGGATATTAGCCCTTTGTCAGATGAATAGATTGCAAAAATTTTCTCCCATTCTGTAGGTTACCTTTTCACTTTGATGGTAGTTTCTTTTGCTATGCAGAAGCTCTTTAGTTTAATTAGATCCCATTTGTCAATTTTGGCTTTTGTTGCCATTGCTTTTGGTGTTTTAGACCTGAAGTCCTTGCCCATGCCTATGTCCTGAATGGTAACGCCTAGGTTTTCTTCTAGGGTTTTTATGGTTTTAGGTCTTACATTTAAGTCTTTAATCCATCTTGAATTGATTTTTGTATAAGGTATAAGGAAGGGATCCAGTTTCAGCTTTCTACATATGCCTAGCCAGTTTTCCCAGCACCATTTGTTAAATAGGGAGTCCTTTCCCCATTTCTTGTTTTTGTCAGGTTTATCAAAGATCAGATGGTTGTAGATGTGTAGTATTATTTCTGAAGGCTCTGTTCTGTTCCATCGGTCTATATCTCTGTTTTGGTACCAGTACCATGCTGTTTTGGTTACTGAGTCTGGCCAGGGCAATCAGGCAGGAGAAAGAAATAAAGGGTATTCAGTTAGGAAAAGAGGAAGTCAAATTGTCCCTGTTTACAGATGACATGATTGTATATCTAGAAAACTCCATGGTCTCAGCCCAAAATCTCCTTAAGCTGATAAGCAACTTCAGCAAAGTCTCAGGATACAAAATCAATGCGCAAAAATCACAAGGATTCTTATACACCAATAACAGACAAACAGAGAGCCAAATCATGAGTTAACTCCCATTCACAGTTGCTTCAAAGAGAATAAAATACCTAGGAATCCAACTTACAAGGGATGTGAAGGACCTCTTTAAGGAGAACTACAAACCACTGCTCAACGAAATAAAAGAGAATACAAACAAATGGAAGAACATTCCATGCTCATGGATAGGAATAATCAATATCATGAAAATGGCCATACTGCCCAAAGTAATTTATAGATTCAATGCCATCCCCATCAAGCTACCAATGACTTTCTTCACAGAATTGGAAAAAACTACTTTAAAGTTCATATGGAACCGAAAAAGAGCCTGCATTGCCAAGTCAATCCTAAGCCAAAAGAACAAAGCTGGAGGCATCATGCTACCTGACTTCAAACTATGCTACAAATGTGTTTATTTTCATTAAAACCTTATTTACAAAACAAAAACAAAAACAAAACAGAGTAGGCTCAATTTGGAGTGTGGGCTGTAGATGCCACTCCCTGAATCAGAGAATTAGCCAAGTTGAACATGTGTAGGTATCACCCACAAGTCCCAAAACGGGCTATTGTGTTTACTGAAATAGCACAATGAAAACTATTAGTTAAATCTATGATTTTAAAAAATATATTTGTGATCAGCAGCAAAATAAGTGCCACAAATTATTGCCCTCCCAAACCATACTCTGTAATATCTACTCATTTTTGATCAGCCAGCCCTTAGCTAACTTGTCAACTGACTACAGACCTATGAGAAATCTTAGTCAAAATGGGCTAGGCCTTGCCCAGGTCAGCACACTGGGCAGCCTGGCTGAAATTGATAACTTACAGAACCATTAGTAAGTAAGTGTTGTTTTAATCTCCTATGTTTTGGGATTTTTCCTATGCAGCAAAAATTAACTGACATTTTAGTTAGATGAAGTACTATGATCACAGCATTAAACAGATGACTTGTCTTTCTTATATGATGGTAAAATTTACATATGCAACAGAATTAATATTAGTAGCAACGTTTACTGAGTGCTCACTATCTGTAGGGGTTATGGTTGAGGAATGCACTGGGAACCAGGAAGATCGTGGCGTCTGCCTTCAAAAAAAGTTTACATTTGTCATGTTGGAAAAGTTTTGCCAGTAAGGGTTGATTTTTATATTAACTTCAAAACAGGCTTCTGGAATAATCTGGAGGATAGTCAAAGATTAACCTTTGGCAATGACAAAAATGAACAATCATAGAAACTTCCAAAAAACTTGCTAAACTAGGCTCTAACCAAGATGAGTCAGAGTCTTATGGCATTGCAGATTTTTTAGGAAACAGGTACAATTGTGCTTCCTCTTCTTTTACTGGTTGCTTCCAAAATGAAGAATAATGCTGTGATGCTCTTTTCTCCAGTTTTGCTTTGGTGGGGCAGCTTTTCACTACATGTGGTATGCACACAGCCTTCGTTTTTATGTTATTTATTTTTTTTTCTTATGAGTCTGTTGCAAGTGGGAGCCCTAGGTATGTGGTACTTGAGCATTTTCAAAGGAGCTTTGGCATGCCTCCAGTCCTTTGAAATCTAGTTCTGCTCTGTATGCTGTAATACTTTCCATTCTGAGTCTTAGCTGCAATATTTTGCATCTTGCAAGTGTTTGCTGTTGGTTCCTTTAAATGTACTTAAAAATTCGGTGACTTAATAAGACTGTGTGCATAATATAGCCCTTTAATTCACTTTATCTACATGCTCTTTTAAACTAAAAATTCAGAGAATCCAATGTCTTTACCTTGTAACCTGTCTAAAAACTGTATTATTAAATGTATTTAGTAGAACACATTGAAAATAATGTTTCTCAACTCACAACTACAGTCTCCAACACTTTTCTAACCAGAACTAAGATCTGCTGCACACTTACTGAGCTATAAAATCCCTGCTGTTTCTGAGATGAATAAAACCAAAAGGAGAAAGGCAAAGCAGTGTCTCCATTGTCAAAAACTTATGTTCAATCTGACTGAAATTGGTTCCATGAACATTGGTATTAGAACATGAAGGATAATATTTATCTGTGTTATATAAATTATATAGTGAAAAATATCAAATATCAATTAGCATGTTTGTTTATATTTATGTAGGATATTGTGAACATAAGTTATCCAATCTAGTAAGTTAAAATTATTTTAAAATTATTCCCTACATGGAGTGGTGCTCTAATTTATCATCTAAATCATTCTAATATTTACTCATACCCCCCAAAACACTCTAAATGTCAGGAAACCAACACTTTGACTCAGATTATCAGTGAAAGGGACATGATAGAAAGAAGCAGGCTGGAATCAAATTATACAAACCATCCTCTCAGTGTGTCAATAATTTTGAATATATTTAAGAAAATACTCTCAACAGAGAACTGATAAATTATTCATGAGTTGAAATATTTCAACTGTTTTCCCATTTTTTATGTTTTATAAAAATTTAATATCTTAATTTTTTACTTTAGTTCACCACAAATAACATGGTGTATGCTCATACTTACAATGGGCAAATCCAGCCTGTCATATTTTCTAATTGTGGTGGAACATGAAAAAATATTAATGAAATGTCATACTTAAAACCTAACTGTTTATGTCACATGCATTGTTGCATATTCTCAACTTTCTGGTTTTAGTTGTTTTAGTTTTACACCAATAGACAATCTTGATTTTAAAATAAAAATTTTTAACCGAAGTTTATGGATTCCAGTGTTATAGGATGCCCTTGTAATTTTGAAAATTACAAGCCAGAGAAAGAGAGCCAAGCAAAGAGCAGCATTTTCCTAGGAGGGATAAATAGAGATCAATATCTGAGGCTGCCAAGGCAGCTGAAACTTGGGGGAGCATTACAAAAGTAGAGGAACCCACAGAGAAGGAGTCACAAAATCTGCATAAAAATTTACTTCTGCTTCTTAGTCACCTCCTAAATTGCAAATTCACAAGGTGTAATTCTGAGGACCAACCTGAGCAGTGCTGGGAGGCAGTGACTTCAGAGATTGTTCAATGCTGAGGAGACACCTGGGAGACTGGAGCAAGAAGAGAGAAGAATTTAGGTGAATATCCTAGGCATTCAGTTGAGGCACTAAAGAGCACATCCTTACTCCCAGAACAATGCCCAAGGAGTAAATGCCATGCCCAATAGGTAAGGGCAAACCTGGAACAGACCAGCCCAACAAAGTCTAAAACCAAGCCAGCATTGGATCAAGATCATCATCTAGGAAGTTAACTGCTTGCTAGAACAGAACTTAACACCTCTGCTATGTAGAATTTACATATATATATTTAAATATATATATATATAAATTTGAGGGAGCATTACAAAACTAGAGGGATCCGCAGAGAAGGCATCACTACATATATAGTGACTATATATATATAGTTATGTATAAAATTAATAAATTATCTCAAACTTGTAATGTGTGACTGGGTTTTTATTTACTATCTAGAATTTGTTAAACAAATCTCTGTTAATAACTTTTCCATATTGAAGGGAGGAAGGGAGGGAGGGAGGGAGGAAGGAAGGAAGGAAGGAGAGAGAGAGGGAGGGAGGGAGGGAAGGAGGGAAGGGAGGGAAGGAGGGAAGGGAGGAATGAAGGAAGGGAGGAATGAGGGAAGGGAGGAAAGAAGGAAGGAAGGAAGGGAGGGAGGGAAGGAAGGAGGGAGGGAGGGAAGGAGGGAAGGGGGAATGAGGGAAGGGAGGAAAGAAGGAAGGAAGGAAGGAAAGGGAAGGAAGGGAAGGAAGGAAAGGGAAGGAAGGGAAGGAAGGAAAGGAAGGGAGGGAAGAAACTATTTGATATAATGGGTAGACAGAAATGTATCCTCTATTTATTTATAAGTAAACTTGACATAAATACAAAATCATGATTATCCTTCTACCCTCTAGACTTTAAGCTCTGTGTAGGAAAAGATGTCTTTTTTCTTTCCTACTCAGCAACTTAGCTTATAATAGAAATGAAAAATATATAGTGAATAAGTGTTATGTCTTGTTGAATTCTAGTTTTCCAAAGGAGAAAAGCTTCCTCATAAAATTATTGGATTATTAAACTTAATAACAGAAATGAAAAAATAGTTTCTGTACAATAATATCCAACCAGTTTTAGACTTCTAAGCACTGTTGTGAAACAAATATTAAGATAAATACATTTCTCTATGTGATAGAGAAAGCTAAAGATTTATAATTTCGGACTCCAAATGATATCCATAACAACCCCTTTAAGACACTTGCATATTTGTCCTTGCTACAGATTTGAAAAAGCAAAACTACAAGAAGACGATGAGGATGACAGAGCTCCAGACACAATAGCTGCAGGAGAGAGAGAGACTGACTCACAACCAGGGAAAGAAAAAAAAGTAAAACTACATTTTTTTAAAAAAATGCAACCTTTCATGGTCAACAAAACAGTCTCTGGAGTCAGGCACATTTAAATTGACCTGGTTCACATTCCACTTCCTCTCCCAATAATATTACCTTAGGCAAGCAAGCTCTTCTCTACCCTTTAGACTAATTTTAAGATTTAAGAAATATAATCCACATAAAATGTTTAGCAGAATCCCTGGCATAAACTAAACCTTAGTCAAGGATAACTTTTATGATTGCTACTATACTGCTGAATATGGTTAAAAACAATTTAGAAAAACATATTTTATTACCGCCTATATTATCTGTTTAAGTCAACTTGGAACAATGCATTTCAGAAAGATATCCAAGATGCAAGACATTTAAAATAGATGAAAACCTTTTGTGTTTAATAGAGCATGTTTTGGTTACTTGGAAAATCTATCCATGTGGGATATCATCTCCCCCAGAGACAGTAATAAAAACAAGAAGAGACTATCTAGCTTACATTTCATACCTAATTACAGTCACAAGTTTATAGTAAAGAATGTTTCCTTTATAGTTGATATTGTCCTTGAAAATAAATGTTTCAGCTTTGCCATTTTGATAAACAATATAGAAAAATATGGAGACTCATTCAACTTCTTCAGGGAATCAATTTCCTTTATCATTATTACTCATTTTTACATGGCCCCTGTGAAGTGGGGATACGTGATGTGGCAAATTGGCTCACACAGTGAGAACTGACCAAGGATTTTGGCGTATCTTTCTCCTGTTTTCAGAAGAAATGCTCTATGTTCTTCCCCTTAAGCCACCCAGTTACTTTGCAGCCACTCCCCTTGGCTCCTAACAACAACAAGATGTCATAATTCCCAAAGAGGCAGCTGCATTTAGTTACTGTGTTGTAGACATGCACACATATCAAGTTGACACCTAATTAAATAATAAAATCATTTTTTAAAAATATTCAAGTTCCATGTGTTTGAAAGAGACCAAAAGTAAAATGACTGCGCATTATATTGGCATAAACGAAGAGGTCAATAGAAGGGATGCCATGGACGGTAAATACAGGCACATGCATAATGGGAGAGTGTCCCAGACTTCATCCTGTGAGTCACTGACGGGTAACAGGTAAACAGCAGGCCCACCTGTTAAATTGTTCATTCTCTAATATTAGGTGAAATCTTCACGTAGTATGTCCTGCTTAAGGTCATTGTCTCCCAAAAGGTTTTAGTTTTATATTATCATTTATTTAGAAAGCAATTTAAAGCAAATACCCTGTTACATGAAAAAGACACCGAAAAAATATTCACTGAATCATTTATGTGAAGTTCAATGACAAAGGGACACATGATTTCTCAGTTATGTTTTTCACATAATTAAATTAAATAAGCATCAAAATATATAAACACATAAATACATATAATATAATAAGTAATTTATATTTGTGCCTGTGACATAATTTTTATATACTCATATTTTTCATCTTTTTCATTTTAATAAAGCCTCATCAGCTATTTTCCTTTTACTTTTAGTTGCTTATTCTTTGTGAAATGTATTACTTATCTCTGCTTATTTTTATTTTTTTAAGTACTCAGTTATAAAACCAAAGATAAGTCAACATTTATTTCTTTTATATTTCCCATCATTTCACACAAGGAATGTACTACTTAGGCAAAAGTATATTAGAAAATGGTGTGATTACACCCATCTCATGTTGAATAACTAGGTCTCAGAGCATCTTTAATGGTATCTTCTTCCCAGCAGAACAAAAATACGAAATTATATTTATGGGCTCCAGATGTGTTGTCAAATAAAAAGCATCTCTAGAACTATTTGATGTATCATTTACTTGTTTCCACATTTATCAAGCAGAGCAAAACTTGACCTCACATTAATATATATTCTTTCTGAAACTGTTGAAGCCATCTGTACAGCTGCTCATTTTACTCATGCTGTTTACTAGCAAGATGTCGCAGACAGGAAATATACTGACAGTAAAGACCCACAGAATCTCTCTAAATGCATCAATACAGACATTTCAAGAAAAGCTCCTTGGGACCTACTAGTGCCACAGTGTGAAGTTTAAGCTATATAGTCAAATGAAGGGAAGTTTGCATATTTGATAGTTTCACCTTTTCAATGTAGATATGACCTGAGATTGAAGCTTATCTTACTTAAATGACCCCCATTTAAGTAAGATAAGTCTTAGATCACTCAGGAAAAGAATGTCAACTATTTGAGTTTTTCGAATATTAGAATTTATTGGTAAAACACAACAGGAAAAAGCAGAAATGTACTTTAAAAATTCTATCTGATCACTTCATTAGTATGCTGAAAAGAAGGAAAAGTACTTGGCATCAAATTTTGGGAATTCAAATGTTTTCTCACATATTTTTATCTTTATAAATTAGATTTCTCATTAGGAATTCACAAGAGAATTTTACTTCAATAGTAGGTAATCACCAGAGAATAATGTATACACAGTTTATGAATAGGATTGCAACAGTAGGTAACCACCAGAGAAAAATGCATATATAGTTTATGCATAGGATTGAATTTGGTTCCAATCACCACATTCTTTTCTAAATTTGCCATATTTTTAAACAAAACTATTTCCTCCATAGACTCATGTCTAATTTACCTGTAGTCAAATTTTATGTGCAATAAAAGAAATTTGAGCTTGATAAGATACATTTTATAACTTTTTTCTCTCCATATATATCAATATATTGTTTAAAATGTATTTTTCAAATCAAAATCACAACAAGATACCACATTCACAATCACTAGGATGGCTAGAATTGAAAAACTGGAAAATGTAAAAATGTGGAGAAACCAGAACCCTCATATCTGCTGATGAGAATGTAAAATGGTGAAGCCACTGTGAAAAACAGCTTATTAGTTCTTCAATAAGTTAAACATAGAATTACCATGTGACAGCAATTTCCCTCCTAAGTATATATCCAAATGAATTTAAAAGAAGTGTTCAACAAAAACTTATATAAGAATGTTCACAGCAGCACTATTTATAATAGTCAAAAGATAAGAACAACTCAATTGTCCATCAATGCATAAACGAAATGTGGTATATCCATTTTGGAATGGTTACATGGAATATCATTTAACCATAAAAAGGAATGAAGTACTGATCCACGTTGCAACATAGATAAACCTTGAAAACATGCTAAGTGAAAGAAGGCGGACACAAAACGACATGTATAGAATGATTCCATTTATATGCAATACCCAAAATAGACAAGTGCTAGAGACAGAAAACAGAATAATGGCTGTCGAGGGCTAGGGATTAGACAGAATGTGGGATGACTGCTAAATAGGTATTGAATTTTCTTTTGGGGTGATGAAAAATGCTCTGGAACTAGATAGTGTTGCATAATGCTGTTAATGTCCTAAATGCCACGCAATTGTACATTTTAAAATGGTTAAAATAGTAAATTTTATTTTATAGGTATTACACCAAAAATTTTCTAACTACATTGTTGACAACGACTGACCATATGGTCTACTGTTTATTTAAGAATTTATGTTTATTGAATTTCATAGAGATTTTCTAATGAAAGCTTTAAAGCATGAATATCTGTTCTCTCATGAAATCATAAGATTAATGACAGTACATGAATTTGTAAATGGATATAAGCCTATAATGTCAAAGATAATTAATTGTGAACTAACATCAGCAAGTAATATTTGTCAATAATATTTAGGAAAGTAGGATGAAGAACGATTAATGATGTGGCAGAGAATGTTCATCGTTCCTAGAATTCATTCTCCTTACTTTGTTTATAAAATTTGTAGATGGGAGCAGGAAAATGGAGCCTATTCCCAAAACTTCTTACTCCTAAAGTTAAATTGTGAGTCATTCCTTCATTTTCCCAAAGTATAACAGTGATCTTTGTCCAGATGAGGTTCCAGAAGCTGGATTTATCAATTATTATTAACTATTAAAGCCAATCTCTAAAATGGAGATCAGTATATGTGGAAATATTAAGATTATGCACAATTTCTACCAAGATACCAATAGTGAGAGAATTTAACTTCTAAGCACTGCTTCTGCAAATTTTGAAACATATTTTATTTATACATCAAAAATCTTCATTATCTTAATAAGATTCTTATACTGTCACACTCTGTGCAAGTTATCGTAATAAAGAATCTGCTTTAGAAACAAAAAAAATTTACAAGAAAAAAACAAACCAACCCATCAAAAAGTGGGTGAAGGACATGAACAGACACTTCTCAAAAGAAGACATTTATGCAGCCAAAAAACACATGAAAAAATGCTCACCATCACTGGCCATCAGAGAAATGCAAATCAAAACCACAATGAGATACCATCTCACACCAGTTAGAATGGCAATCATTAAAAAGTCAGGAAACAACAGGTGCTGGAGAGGATGTGGAGAAATAGGAACACTTTTACACTGTTGGTGGGACTGTAAACTAGTTCAACCACCGTGGAAGTCAGTGTGGCGATTCCTCAGGGATTTAGAACTAGAACTACCATTTGACCCAGCCATCCCATGACTGGGTATATACCCAAAGGACTGTAAATCATGCTGCTATAAAGACATATGCACATGTATGTTTATTGCGGCACTATTCACAATAGCAAAGACTTGGAACCAACCCAAATGTCCAACAATGATAGACTGGATTAAGAAAATGTGGCACATATACACCATGGAATACTATGCAGCCATAAAAAATGATGAGTTCATGTCCTTTGTAGGGACATGGATGAAACTGGAAATCATCATTCTCAGTAAACTATCGCAAGGACAAAAAACTAAACACCACATGTTCTCACTCATAGGTGGGAATTGAACAATGAGAACACATGGACACAGGAAGGGGAACATCACACTCTGGGGCCTGTTGTGGGGTGGGGGGAGGCGGGAGGGATAGCATTAGGAGATATACCTAACGTAAATGACGAGTTAATGGGTGCAGCACACCAGCATGGCACATGTATACATATGTAACTAACCTGCACATTGTGCACATGTACACTAAAACTTAAAGTATAATAATAATAAAAAAAAACCAGAAGAAAGAATCCATGTCAACTTTAAATGAAGGCCCCTTTCCTTGCAAACATTAAAGCACTTGCAACATCAAGCAAAGTATATTAGGAAAGGAAGCCTAGGGATTCTGGAATGTAAACAATTTTGTTATTTAAAATATGCATGTGTTTGAATTCTTCAAAGAGCAGTCCTTATTCTATCTTCAATATGCATTATCATTTTCTGCAATTAAAAAAATTCAGTTACTTTTTTAGTAATACACTGGTATTTGGGTATGGGGGTGTACAGTGAGATGAGGAACAAAGAATGGGAAATAATGTATTAAGAAGTTTGATATTTGACAGGCTCAAGAAGAGGCTATTCAAGATGTAGTGCAAGACTATGTGGTAATCTTGATGTACGGAGACTGGACCCAACTGTAGTCAGACCCTTGAATAGATTAAAATTTCTTCTAACTCAACCTTCTCCCTCAGAAATTCCTTCTAACCCAGTCATCTCCCTGGGCAAATCCTATGGGACAGTAGTTTCAGGGGACACTACAATGAAGCATACAATGACTCAGACTATAAAAAATTTCTGTTCTCTTCCATCTTAATCTCACTGTCATTCTCCTTTAGCTAGTTACCTAATCTCAGTTTCTTATCATATGCTCATACCTTGCACTCCACACCATTCAAGTATTAAAACTTTTTAAGGAATTAATATTTTGGATTTCAATTTCAAAATTAATCTTAAAATACTGCATCCAACTTTAATTGGTTAGTCTCCTATGAGTGAAAAAATCTAGTGTCATGTGCCAAAATGAGCAAAATGAAATAGAAACTCTCAAAAAACTTCATAATTTTCTGTTTTAGATTATTAATTGCTGCCCTTCATTTTAACAAAAATATCTATAAAGATATTTAAATTTAGGTGAAATATACACATTTAGATTACCAGTACTTTATTTAGGTTTAAGTGTTTTTATGTAACTTTACTCTCATTTTAGAAAACAAAAATCCTCCTCTTAAGATGCATTTGTCTGCAGTTTTCATTTCTTGTAATGTCTGTTTTGTTTTGGTTTCAGGCTAATGCATATATCCTAAAGTGAGTTGGGAATTATTCCAACCTCCTCTCTTTTCTCAAATAATTTCTGTAGAATTGATATTTTTTTATCCATAATTGTTTGATATAAATAGCCCACGAAGCCATCTGGACCTAATGTGTTTTTTTAGGGAGACAATTTTTATATATAATTTTCATGTATGAGATTGATAAATGTTCAGATTATCTATTGGTAATTTGTATCTTCAAGGGATTGGTCTATTTCATCTAAATTGTCAAATTTATGTGCATGGAGTTGTTTGTGGTAGTATCTTTTCCAGTGTCTGCAGGGTCAGTAATGGTATTCCCTTTTTCATTGTTTATGAGGTTATTTGTGTTTTCTCTCCTTTTCTCCTGCTAAGTTTGTTAAGAACTGTATCAGTATCAGTGATTGTACAGTGTAATCATTTCCTGTTCGTCTTTGCTCTTTATTGTATCCTTAGTATAAACTCACTTTTAGCTGACTAAATAAAGCCCATTTCTGTTACTTACAACTTTAAGAATTCCAATGTGCCCTTATTTTAAGCAATACATAACAAGATAAACAAAAATCTGTAAACACTTTTGGAGCACAACCACTGAATGAATGAAGTGGAAGAAGATTCCTGAAGAAATAAAAGCACAATGAAACTAAATAAATTTTATAAAGTAAAAGAAAAATATTTTGGGTACAATGACTGATGCCTCCCCTTATTTTCCATTTTCCAAGCATAAAGACAAATTAAATTATTCTGGAAATGCTTTTCCTAACAAAGGGGACAGTTTTTTAGGTTGGTTTGTTAACAGAATCCTGTGATCTTCAAAGCATGCACAAATAAATTCTTAGCAATGGTATATCTATGTTTTCCTAGGAACGAGAAAAAAATTCATGGTTTCCTTAGGAACTGAAAAAGTCCATGAATCCTAGAATATATATTTTCCTATCTTCTATTATTTTCATTGTTATCACTATAATTATCTTGATTCTGAAATCCCTTCAGCTGACACCTTAATCGGTCAAGTTTTTAGGTCCTGGTCCATGTTGTTAGAGGAGAATATCTTTAGAATAAAGTCATTTTGGTTAAAGTATATCATATATTTTAAAACAAAATTAATATTGTTTGGAAGTTTTAAATTTCTCCTAAAATATTAGAAAAATTTGGCATATCACAAAATCAACAATGGCAATATTTTAATTGATAAATACCTACCCAGTTAGTTTGATAAACAGTTAAATTTCATATTGACAATTTACTTTCCATCCAAACTAAACAGAAAATGTAATTAACTTTAGATTCTACTTTTTCTAATCTTTATGTGTTGATGACAGCTGAAAACATTTTCATAAATTATGTATTATCTTCTTATTGTAATATTCTTCTGCTATAAAAATATAACTTCATATCCCTAGCATCTGCCTTTCAAAACATCTTCAAATCATTATGATTTTCATAAACTAGATTAAAACAACTCAAATGATTTCCAAATACATTAATTATAAATATACGCAAAACATTTTATTTTTGTATACCAACATGTGCATTTAAGATCAACTTCATAAACTTTTAGTAACATTAAACAGAGAAAATATAAAATGAGATTACTTTTTAATTAGAAATATAAAAACTAAAACTACACAGCAGGTTTACAGAGTTTGTTCAATTATCTCAGAAATATACAAATTGTACTTTTTTCATTAACGTTTCAAAAAGCCATATGAAATGATTTTCTAAAAGCAATATGCATTTAAGTCTGGCATGCAACTATTCAGTTATTATCTGCTCCTGCTAATAAAACAAATGAATTTTATGAAATCTGAATAATGAGTTCAGTCAATTGTAAAAGGTGCATAATTTTCTTCTATATAGGAGAAAATATATTACTTCACAGAGGATGCTGTATGAAATGGTGGATAAGGAAACATCCAGACTCTGGAATCACACAGATCTACATTCACCTCCCAGCTTTGTCACATAGTGACCTTGTTATTTAAACACTGTAACCCTTCTTAACCACATATTTTCTTTCCACAAAATAGGAATAACAATTATAAAAGTTTTAAAAGTGGTAAAGTTATGATGGCCAAATTTAAAGCAGTATTGAAAAACTCTTCCTGATGTTTGCTTTTGATTTCCATTTAAGGAAGTAGTTGATCTAACATGCTGGTGTTGTGATGGACTGATTTTTATTTGAAATATTTATGCAATTCATATAATTTCAAAATTGGTAAGATTAATACCACTTAAAGATTTCTACATCTGCATCTGTCCTCCTGCCTAACAATTTGCTGTTGTTGTTATTGTTGTTTTAATAAGGTGTTTTCAATAATATACTTACAAGAGCTTATACCTCAAATTATTAAGATTGTCAGTTAAACAATTCTCAGAGTGAAATCTGCCACATATATCTCTTTGTCCTATTAAAAGGTGTGAAGTTTATAAGTCTAAAGCCATGAAAAATCCCGTATCCAAAATAACTATGATTTCTCTGGCATAAAAATTAGTGATCTGTTCACTAATAACACCTGAAAATACTACCAAATCACAGAAGACTAATCTAAGATGTTAATTGAATGAGACTGCTATCCAAATGTGGCAACTTTTCAAATATTGACACAATTGATTTGTCATGGCTTTTACATCACAGGAAAGGAAGGAACAAGTAGAACCTTCTGATCATCAGGACTTTCTGTGCTGATATCACAGTTTCTTATACCATATTATTTTTTACATTATCAAAGGCCTTGACTCCTCTTTTCGCCAACAAGACCAGGAACAGAGAGTACCTTCATACTGTCCCTGAGCTTGTCAGTGTTCGTGTTGTTCACTTTGAAGATCTAAGGAAGGACTCTGGCCATTTGTCTATGCTGCTATAGACCAAAATGTAGTTTATCATCCTGACTGGAAGTTTGCGGTGAGTGTGAAATTGCCTCACGGCCTAAGTATGAACCTTTTTTCTATTAATGATATGGAGGAACTTCCTTTGAGGCAAGGTAATGCCTAAGCTATATTTAGGGTATTTTATTTTTAAAGCACTTTAAATAGTCTCATTGATTTAATGACTTATATGCCATCTTAGTCCAAAATGAACTAGGACTGTGAACTCTTTAGCAAAGTTACCCATATCAAGTTTTACTCACCAAAGCCAAAGAATGCATTGGGTTTCTAGGCCCATAGTATGCCTTAGATTCTATTTAAATATTTCTAGAAAACCTATAGCCGCCTACATTCCCAAACTCAGGCTTTTGTACTTTCTAAGGGACCATAATTGTTTAGATTCTCATGGAAGAAAGGGTTGATTGTTTTTTGATCAGTACTTCCTGGGTAAATATGATCTATTGCAAGATGTTAGAAATAAATTGTTTTCTTAAATAAGTATCTGTAGTCTTATCTTTTAGTGATTCACAGTGATTTTCAAGCAATATAATTTGGCATACTGTTGCACTGATATTCTTCATATGTATCCCTTCAATTTCTAACAAATGTGTAAAGCTTATTTTTTGTTAATAAGTGTCATGATATCTTTTAGTTTAAAAAGGCAGTAAACAGGATAATATACAGCGAAGGAAGTGCAAAAGAAAGATCACATTTTAAGATAACATAAGAGAATATTGCCTCATACAAATAGAAGAATTGGAGAGAGCAGCAAGCTTATGTAAATTAGAATACTGAAGGGAGAGAAACAGCACATCAACTGAGAATGCTTTCATAGACACTGAAAGATATTACAGAAGTGGTCATATTGTTAGAGTTTATGTCTCATTAGTGTTGTTTTGAATCTTCATATCTCTACAATCTTAGAATGCAAAAGTGAATTGTAAGTACCAACTGGATCTAAAGATTTTATACAACCAAGCCAATGTGTGCCCCTCAGTAACTGCTCTGCTACAATTTCTGAGATATATAACATAATGGCAACTTCAACCACAAGAATATTCTTTAATCTTGGCTATCATCCTTGCACTGAAACCTTGGCTTTGAATTAAAAATCAGAATAAAGTCCTCACAGGTACCTCTTCTCCATGAAACAGAAAGTTTAACAGTGCTAACTAGGAAGCTTACCACTTTCAGTCCCCAGTTCCTGTTAATGCTTTAGAAACAAAGGAACCTGC
The DNA here is from genome assembly GCF_000001405.40 of Homo sapiens. Taxonomy (NCBI): domain Eukaryota; kingdom Metazoa; phylum Chordata; class Mammalia; order Primates; family Hominidae; genus Homo; species Homo sapiens. The sequence continues at coordinate 188,655,185 of NC_000002.12, read as the reverse complement.
AATAAAAGAGGCAAATGTATCAAGCAGACTTGGAATTGTAAAGATCAACCTCCTCAACGCACAGATTCAGCTGTAGGCATTCAGTAAAATAATCTCTACCTCTTTTGCATCTATAAAAAATATCTTGCAGCTTTACCCATTGAAATGCTGGCTCACTCTTACCTGTTTCTCATTATGAACCCCAAACTTCAAATCTAGTTATTACTCTACATCTGCACCCTCAGACCTAATGCTTAGAGCAACTCTTGCTTCCAAGACCCTTAGCCATAAAGTAATTTTTTCCTTGAATGGCTCCTTGAAAGCAGCCCACTTCCTGTTCTTCAGGATAAGTTAGAGCCTCAGGGCTTACCTTGTTTTGGAGAGAGGAAAAGATTAGACGACATCCATTTCCAAATATTACTAATACAGAAAGGAAAGAGAAGGAAGCTCCATAAGAGCCAAGACAACTCAAACGTTTACTCTGTTCATAGTTTCTTTTGCTATGCAGAAGCTCTTTAGTTTAATTAAGCCTCAGTTGTCTGGTTTTGTTTTCGTAGCGATTGCTATTGGAGACTTCATCATGAAATCTTGCCAAGACCTATGTCCAGAATGGTATTTTCTTCTAGAGTTTTTTGAGTTTTAGGGCTTATATTTAAGTCATTACTATATCTTGAGTTGATTTTTGTATATGGTGAAATGAAGGGGTCCAGTTTCAATCTTCCACATATTGAACTGGCCAACCAGTTATCCCAACATTATTTATTGAATTGGGAGTCTTTTTCCCATTGCTTGTTATTGTCAACTTTGTCAAAGATCAGATGGTTGTTTGTGTGAAGCTTTATTTCTGGATTCTTAACCTAGTCCATTGCTCTATGTGTCAGTCTTTGTACCAGTACCAAGCTGTCCTTGTTACTGTAGCCTTGTAGTGTAGTTTGAAGTCAGGAAGTGTGATGCCTCCAGTTTTCTTCTTTTTGCTTAGGATTGCTTGGGCTATTTGGACTCTCTTTTGGTTCCCTACGAACTTTAAAATAGTTTTTTTTTCTAATTCTATGAAAAGCAGAATGGGAAGAAATATTTGCAAACTATGCATCTGACAAAGTTCTAATATCCAGAATCTATGAGGAACTTAATTCAACAAGCAAAAAGAAAACAACCTCATTAGAAAATAGGTAAAGGACATAAACACTTCTCCAAAGAAGACATACAGGTGGCCAAAAAGCACATGAAAATAATGTTCAACATCACTAATCATCATAGAAATGAAAATCAAAACCCTAAAGAGATACCATCTTGCACTAATCAGAATGACTATTATTAAATGTCAAAAAATAATAGATATTGGAGAGGTTGCAGAGAAAAGGGAACGCTTATACACTGCTAGTGGGAATGTAAATTAGTTCAGACACTGTGGAAATCAGTTTTGGAGATTTCTCAAAGACCTTAAAACAAAACTACCATTAGACCTAGCAATCCTGTTCCTGGGTATATACACAAAAGAATATAAATCATTCTACCAGAAAAGACACATATAAGTTCATCACAGCACTATTCATAATAGCAAAGACATAGAATCAATCTAGATACCCATCGATGGTGGACTGAATGAAGAAAATGTGGTACATATACACCGTGGACTATTATGTAGCCATAAATAAGAACAAAACCATGTTCTTCAATCTGCAGCAACACAGATGCAGCTGGAGTTCATTATCCTAAGCAAATTAATGCAGGAACAGAAAACCAAATACCTCATGTTCTCACTTGTAAGGGAGAGCTAAACATGAGTATACATGGACACAAGAGGGGAAGAGTAGACACCAGGGCCTACTTAAGGGTTGGGGGTGGGAAGAAGTGGGGATGGAAAAACTACCTGTCAGGTATTATGCTCACTACCCGTGTACAGGTAGTAGTTATGTACAGGTAGTACAAAGTAATTTGTACTCCAAATGCCAGTGATATGCAATTTACTCATGTAACAAACATGCACATGTACCCCTGAACCTAAAATAAAAGTTAAAGAAGAAAAATAAAATAAAGTAAAAAACCTAAAATGCATGGCGGAATCTATATTTTTGATCTTGTACTTTGGCTAAACTATATTTTCCCTGAAATGCCTTTATTTATTCCATCATTTTTCTCCTTGTTTTGACTAGACTTTGGTTTCTGCTGTTCCAGAAAAAAAAGACACAATATGAAAGAAAATATGATATTTTAATATAATTAGGGATACATTGCTGAGTGAAGTTTTATCTTTATCTCTCTCTGATAGTTTGAATTATTAGACCTAATTTTTCCCTTCTCTGTAGTAGTACTATAAATCTATCTCTTGGTAATTCTCTCATGGTGGGCACAGTATAGTTCTATTCTCTGGAATTTGGGTGTGGTCTTGTGACTTACTTTGACAAATGAGATATTAGTGACGTGATGTGAACAAGGTTTAAAATGTGTTTGCATGGATGTTTTTCTCCTCTTTCAGCTCCATTTTTCTCTGTAAGCACATGCTTTGGGTAGCCACTAGTTCAAGGTGGAGCAGACATAGATCCAATCCAAAACTCAGAGTCACTCCCAATGGAAACCATAAGCTGAACAGCCACCACCCAGAGTCATGCAAGTGTATTGTTGTATGCCACTGAGTTGGAGTATTTCCCTGCAAGAACACTGTATGAGAGCTTAGAGGGGAGAAACGACAGCATACTATTTCCAGGCATAAGAGGACCAACCTGTCCTCACAAGGCATAGGAGGACCCATCTGTCCTTACAAGGTGTAAGAAGACCAATCTGTCCTCACAAGAGCACAAAAGAGCATTTACAATTTCTCCTTCTCCACCCTTTCCCTACAGAAGGAAGTAAAGACCTTCTGAAAAAAGGGAAGTGTGGAGGACTGGATAAGGAGGTACCATGAAGGAGATGCAGACTCGATATAGAAACAAGAATTTGATAAAGATCCCAGTGAATGCCAATAAAGAATAAAACTATGCCAGAGGCAATGTCTTGTATCTCAAAGCATGCCAACGTGAAACTGACAACACAGTAGCATTTGCCTATTATTCTATAGCTAGCTATTATCCTCAGGAAAAAGACCTGAACTGCGAACCTCCTGGTTCAAAGCATATTAAATTGATTTCTGGACAGGAAATGTTAACAAACTATAAAAGAAACCTTAATGAATACTCCTCACACTAGAGTTCCTGTCTATCAGCCTATTTCCAGGTTTTTAGTGATGATGGGAAGATTCCTCACTCATTGCAGAGGAAAATAAAGGATCCTATCCCATTTTCTTTGGTTTCTATTTTTTAAAGGTAGCACAACATATTGTATTTGGAAAAGAGACATAGTCTTATATTAGTGATATGAGGAAACCAGAAACCGGGGACGGTGTTGTACTAAATATGATAACTTCCCCTCCTGAAGAGGTTTAAGAGATTTACAAAGTATATTACACTTAAGAAAATGCTGAGACACAGGATTGCCCATGTAGCAAAGCCAGAAAAATTAAATTATTTAAAATACACAAAAAAATTCTTTTAGAAACATTTTAAGATGATATACTGTGGGTGAACAGGAAATTTTCCAGATGTGAAAGAAAGATTACATACATTAACTTCCTTAATACATTAACATTTTAATCTACACACCAAAAAAATCTACTGTGAAAGGGTACTGTTATGGATGAGATAACTGAAACATAGGCATCATTTAAGTAGGCGGTACAGAACTGAATTTGAACCTGTATGATAAATATACCACAAGATAGACACTGATCTCTTTTTATAGCATAACTTTGAAATTCCGTGCTGTTAATCCTGGTGTTAGTTTTTAATATCTGAATTATGATTCCTTAAAAAGTCTCATTGTTTTAAACTCTTTGTTGACATTAAACTATGATCTGTTCATCTGTGGAATGACACTTTTCTGCCATAATTTTGCATTTGAATCCACAGCAAACAATTTTTAAAATATTTCCAAACATTTTGAGGAAGCACTTGACATGTAAATGTATGCTTCCAAACACCAGTCCCATCTTAAATTCAATAGATCAAGAATCTTAAATTTATTTGCCTTGATAATCTACATAAATATATAAAACGGAGGTGCACAAAGCCTACTTTTTTGTCAAAGCAAATCAAATATGCACTCCACATTTAATATTCTTCCAATGACTTAAATATAATGTAGAGGCAGGGCACGGCGGCTCATGCCTGTAATCCCAGCACTTTGGGAAGCCGAGGTGGGTGGATCATGAGGTTAGGAGATCGAGACCATCCTGGCTAACATGGTGAAACCCCATCTCTACTAAAAAAAAAAAAATACAAAAAATTACCCAGGCGTAGTGGCGGGCGACTGTAGTCCCACCTACTTGGGAGGCTGAGGCAGGAGAATGGCGTGAACCCGGGAGGCAGAGCTTGCAGTGAGCCGAGATGCGCCACTGCACTCCAGCCTGGGCGAAAGAGAGAGACTCCGTCTCAAAAAATAAATAAATAAAATGTGGAAAGAAGCACATACAGAACATAACCTTTATGTATAGTTACAATTTAAGAATGATGGCGGATTGAAGATATGTTTTGTCTAAAAAAATTAGTTGTTCAACCAATGGCAGTAATCACAAATTTCTCCTTGCTATTTTTTTTCCTCATAAGTGCTATGACCAACTTAAATTAAGGTACTTAAATAGCTACCTAAATACCTAAACAAGCTACCTACATAAACAGTGCTTTATGTATATGAATCTCATCATATGGAAAAAGCATAGCTGGCACAATATCTTTTTATCAGTCAGATTAGCAAGAAGTAATAGAATGTGTTTAGTACCTTTTCCATTCAAATCTGTTCTTCAACTTAAATATAATTATTTTATTGACAATTACTAATACATGGCTCACTGATTCCCAAGCATTATACTAAGTGAGATCTCATAATTATTCTATTAGGTAGGCACCGATATGTCACCTCCATTTCACAATGAGGAAACCAAGACAATGAAGAAACTGAGGTTAGAAAACTTGGCAAAATGATATAGCTATTAAGAAGAAAAGGCAGGACTCTGACCTAGACAGTCTGCTTTCAGAGTCTATTCTCCAAATTACTACTCTGTATTATCCATTTCTACCATCATTTTCTTTTCGTATTTCACATTTTTAAAAAAATAACATTGTCAATTTGTCATTTATAACTACATTAAGTGAACATTAAAAGCATGGTATCATTAAATAAAAATGTATCTTTTGGCTCCATAAATGTCTTCTTTTGAGAAGTGTCTGTTCATGTCCTTCACCCACTTGTTGATGGGGTTGTTTTTTTCTTGTAAATTTGTTGGAGTTCATTGTAGATTCTGGATATTAGCCCTTTGTCAGATGAGTAGACTGCAAAAATTTTCTCCCATTCTGTAGGTTGCCTGTTCAATCTGATGGTAGTTTCTTTTGCTGTGCAGAAGCTCTTTAGTTTAATTAGATCCCATTTGTCAATTGTGGCTTTTGTTGCCATTGCTTTTGGTGTTTTAGACATGAAGTCCTTGCCCATGCCTATGTCCTGAATGGTATTGCCTAGGTTTTCTTCTAGGGTTTTTATGGTTTTAGGTCTAACATTTAAATCTTTAATCCATCTTGAATTAATTTTAGTATAAGGTGTAAGGAAGGGATCCAGTTTCAGCTTTCCACATATGGCTAGCCAGTTTTCCCAGTACCATTTATTAAATAGGGAATCCTTTCCCCATTTCCTGTTTTTGTCAGGTTTGTCAAAGATCAGATAGTTGTAGATATGTGGCATTATTTCTGAGGGCTCTGTTCTGTTCCATTGGTCTATATATCTGTTTTGGTACCAGTACCATGCTGTTTTGGTTACTGTAAAGGCTCATCATCCCTGGCCATCAGAGAAATGCAAATCAAAACCACAATGAGATACCATCTCACACCAGTTAGAATGGCGATCATTAAAAAGTCAGGAAACAACAGGTGCTGGAGAGAATGTGGAGAAATAGGAACACTTTTACACTGTTGGTGGGACTGTAAACTAGTTCAACCATTGTGGAAGTCAGTGTGGCAATTCCTCAGGGATCTAGAACTAGAAATACCATTTGACCCAGCCATCTCATTACTGGGTATATACCCAAAGGATTATAAATCATGCTGCTGTAAGACACATGCACACGTATGTTTATTGCGGCACTATTCACTATTCACAATAGCAAAGACTTGGAACCAACCCAGATGTCCAACAATGATAGACTGGATTAAGAAAATGTGGCACATACACACCATGTAATACTATGCAGCCATAAGAAATGATGAGTTCGTGTCCTTTGTAGAGACATGGATGAAGCTGGAAACCATCATTCTCAGCAAACTATCGCAAGGACAAAAAATCAAACCCCGCATGTTCTCACTCATAGGTGGGAACTGAACAATGAGAACACATGGACACAGGAAGGGGAACATCACACACCGGGGCCTGTTGTGGGGTGGGGGGAGGGGGGAGGGATAGCATTAGCAGATATACCTAATGTTAAATGACGAGTTAATGGGTGCAGCACACCAACATGGCACATGTATGTATATGTAACAAACCTGCACGTTGTGCACATGTACCCTAAAAATTAAAATATATATTAAAAAAATAACAATGTAAGCAATCATTTTGAACTATACAAGCTTTTAATAAGCAGCTTTGCATATACTATTTTTTAATTTGCTAACTTATTTTTCTTTTCTGCCATAAACAAAGAGTCATTTCCGGTATAGTCTTTCTTTACCAAGGTTAATCTCATATTTGTTGGCACCCCTCTTGTATTATTACTTCCTCTACACTATCCTCCCCTGCTTTACTTGTTTTCAAACAATTGTTGTCTTTCCATTATGGGTAAGGCTTTATACCACAATAGATTTTCTTGCTACTAAAGTATTTGAGATCATCAGGATGACTGAATTCACGACCACTTGATGAAATACTCTTGAGGGTTAAAGGAATCTTATTAATTATGACTCCCATTAAAACATATATAGAATAGACTCTCTTGAAAATCTAAATTTATGTTTACTCTAGACATGTAAGATGAGCCTTGAAATAAATACGTCTGATAGACTAAGATGGTAGAGAAGTGTGTTAATCACAAGCTGTAGAGTCATTAAAAGAAGAAAAGCCTAATGTGTGTTTAGGGAAAGTGTAAGAAGCTTAGGACAGCTGGGATAGAGACTCCCAATTCCATGGAAATACATAATAAAGCTACAGAGTGGTTATTCATAGTTTAGAAGACTGTGATCACCAGATTAAGGAATTTGACCTTAATTTAGTAGAAGGTGCAGGGTCATCCAGTGTTTCAGGGCAAGAAATGGTGAACAAAAACATAATGAACCAAAGCTTAAACAAGATTAATCTAATTGGTGATTATAGCTGATGGATCATGGCAAGCAGTTTGAAGATGGATGAGACGCCTCAAGTGTGAAGTAATAAGCTTCATACTTTGTCAAGGGTTTTTTTTTTTTTTTCTTTTTAAGTATGTGCTATAATGAAAAGATTTGATCTGACTGTTTGAGAAATCCAATACTGGAAAATTTAGTGAAACTTAAAAACTTTAGTGATGGATTTCCTGGCAACAATAATTTTTTTCCGAGACTTAGTCCAAAGTTATCTTAATGAACACAGCTGCAAAATCAAAACCTTACAGATTATACCACAATTCCCTAAGATTGCACAGCAGGAAATATAATATATATATTTTCTACTTTTTATACGTGACTTTTAAATGAAGTAGTCAAAACCATTTTTATAATTATTGATCCCCTCCACTTATATACAATCGTAAAAAATTAAAAATATACCATGTAATGCTGGGTTTCCAAACAAAATGATGGCGGAAATAATACTGTGTATTGGTATATTTATTATTCATACAAAATTAGCTCTTCTTTTATTCTTAATAATTATCTCATTTTGCAGGTGAAGAAACAAAGAATCAAAATCAAAATTATGTAACTCTTGTACTACCCAGCAAATAAGTGAAGTCAAGTAAAGTAAGTAGGGCCTTGTTACTCTGACTCTAGCTCTTTTTCTGCCCTTTTCACCAGTAATCATTCAGGAAAACAGAAATTTTCTTCTTACTGAAGAAGAAAATAAATTTCAAAGCATTGGAAAATGGTATTTTAGAAATAGTGCCTTCAAGTATCAGTTAAAAAGGTAGGGCTTTTATGTTATTCCATACTTTAAAGTGATACATATAATACAGACCTAAATTTGCTCTGTAACATGGCCAATGAAAGCCAAACTGCCATGTATTTCTACACTTAGCACTAACGAAAGGACTAGTTCAGGAAAAATCTTAAAAATGCATATTAGTGATACATGTTAGTACTAATATTAGTGATAAAACACCTACCTTGCCTGGATGAAAACTTCACCCATTCTTTAATTCTTTAAACAGTAGAATGTGGCTTTATTATGAGTGTATAATATCCTTGAACTCTATTTTCATTCTAAATGCAAAAAATTCACAGGTAGATTTATATGACTGACTATGACACAAATACAATTTCAAGCGTCTATTATCTCCAAAAATAATTTTTCTCACTATAAAGTTACTTACAATGTTTTTACTTTAAACTTCTTTCTTTATACCTGGATGCAGGCTTTTATAAAACAGTGTTTTGTTCTGTCCTCACAATAGTCTAGCCAAGAGGGGGTCACTAATTACTAACCTGGCAACATGTGAGTCTGCCCCTTATAATGAGTCTCCACACATGCACAAAAACTTTAATGTACATTTGAATTACCTGGAGATTTTGTTAAACTGCACAGTATGAAGTAGTAGGTCTAGTGTGGAGTCTGAGACTCTTCATGTTAAGTAAGCTCTGTGATGCCTGCTTCTGATTCTCAGACTGCTGTTTGAGTAGTAAGACTATGGTAGCACCCTAGCAGTAAAGAACACAGAAGGTCATTTTCAACAGGATTCTCACAGCACTGTGAATACAAGATACTTGGAAAGTTCCTTGATACTGGGAATTGCAGAGTTAATGCCAAGGCAGCTGCAGTAAACGTGTAAGTATACTCAGTACAGTGCATTCCACACAGTTGAGGCTAAAGGAATGAATAATCCAGGGAAGATCCTAAAATATGTTAGTGACAAATGTTAAACCTAATGCTAATGATGATAAAGTTTTCTCTATTGCCTAGAGAAAAGCTTCATCCGAAAGTTTTTTTTTTTTTTAAAGCAGAGTCTATTTCACTGTATAGTGTTTCTCAAACCCTAACCAACACAAAATTATTCTGCCAAGTTAGTTTCAGGGAAAAAGTTTTTTTACATACTAAGACCTGTTTTAATTTCTTACATAATGAAAACTGTTTTCTTTTTATAGTTACCCAGAAACTTTAGAGACATTTTTTGGGGGGCTTATAAAAGTCCTTTTATAAAGCCATTTTTACAACAAAACAAAAAAATGTTTACAAAAGAAAAAAAGATACAGAAAAAGAATAACTCGCTTCATATGTCCCATATAGAGACATTTTTAAATGATATCAAACACTTCAATTCATAAGGAGTGACAAATATAATTTAATTGTATTGTTTCACTTAATGTCTAATTTTTGTATCACTAATACTCTTATTTTGCATTATGTTTGATCTTATAAGTGTCTCCAAATAGTTTTGTACAAATAAAAAAAGGAATAAAATGAAAATTAAACAATGTAACAAAGAGGGAGTAGAGATGTAGAAGAAAAGGAAGAGGAAGGAGAGCAGAAGGGAAGGGAAAATGAACATGAAGCAAAAATGTAGGGAGAGGGGAAAGCAGCAAGTAAGGAAAGAAAAGGAGAACAAAGAATGGAAAGGGTTAATTTTGGTTTCTTTAACTTTATTGAGGTATAATTGATAGGTGAAAAATTGCAAACATTTAATATGTACATCTAGATGAGTTTGGACACATGCTTACAGCCATGATGGTATCATCACAACCAAGATACTAAACATATCCATCACCAAAAGAACTTCATTTTTGTAAAATGAAGAAAACTGAGGTCAAGTTTCTCTCTCTCTCTCATCCCTCTCCCTTTACCTATGGATTTCTAATTACTCCAGTATCGTTTGTTGAAAAGGCTATCTTTTTTCCACTGAGTTGCTTTGCACATTTGTCAAAAATTAGTTGGGCATATTTATGTAGGTCTATTTCTCTGTTCTCCGTTCTGTTCTGTTGACCTATATATCTGTTCCCTCCACCAATATCACAGAGTTTCAACCATAAACAAGGCAAGACTATATAGTATTCCTACTACTTTATGCTTCCTTTTCAAAATTGTTTTAGGAATTCTTTTCTTTTGCATTTCTCTGTACACTTTAGAATATTCTTGTCTATACCTACAGAAAAAGTCTTTCTGGAATTTTGATTGGGATTGCATAAACCTGTATATGGGGAGAAATGTTATCTTTACTATGTTGAGTCTCCCAATCCATAAATAAGGTATCTCTATTCAGACTTAGATTTTCTTTGATTTCCTTCATCAGAATCATGTAGTTTTCAGCATAAAAATCTTGTACAAGTTTTGTTAGATTTATACCTAAATATTTCACTTATTGAGCCATTGTAAATGGTACTGTAATTTTCTGTGTTCACTTCATTGATAGTATATAAATATGCTTATTTTTTGCATGTTTATCTATATTTTGTGAATATGTGGAACTTATAAGTTCTTACTTATAAGTTCTAGATGTATTTTTGTAGATTCCTTTGAATATCCTATGTAGAAAATAATATCATATGTAAATAGGAATAGTCTTATTTATTGCTTTCTGATACATATGTTTTTATTTTATTTTCTTGCCTTATTACAGTGGCTAGAATGTCCAGCACTGTGTAAATAACAGTGATAAAAGCAAATATCCTTGCCTTGTTCTCAATATTTAGAAGAAGAGCATTCAATCTTTCAGCATTAAGTAAAATATAAGCTGTAGGGTTTTTTTTTTTTTCAATAGGTGTTCTTCCCTAGTTCTATTTTTCTGAGAACTTTTATCATGAATGAATGTTGACTTTTTGTCAAATACTTTTTCTGGATTGATTGATGTAATCATGTAATCATGTAAAGATTACATGTAATCATGTAATCTTTCTTAGCTTGTTAATAGTGTTGATTACATTGATTTACAAAAATTGAAACTTACTTGGATCCCTGGAATAAAACATATTTGCTTATAGTGTATAACTATTTTTATATATGATTTAGTTTTATTGGATAATGTTTTGTTAATAACTTTTCTGCCTATATTCATGAGGTATACTGCCCCTAATTTCCTTTTACTGTAATGCCTTTGTCTGGTTTAGGTATCAATATAACATTAGCTTCATAAAAAGCATTTTCTTCTATTTTCTGAAAGATATGTGTAGAATTAGTGTTAATTCTATTTTAAGCTTTTGGTAGCACTCTCAAGTGAAATAATAAGGGCCTGAAGATTTAACTTTTGGAAGTTTTAAAACTATAAATTATCTATTACATATTGGATGAATCCTGATAGTTTGTGTTGTTTGGTCCACTTCTTCTAAGTTGTCAAATTTATGTGTGTACAGTTATTAATGTTGTTCCTTTATTATTATTTTAATGCCCACAGCAACTGTCATGATATTCCCTGTTTTGTCCCCGATTTTTATAATTTATGTCTACTCTCCTATTGTATTTGTAAATCTTTCTGGAGATTTTTTAATTATATTGAATTTTTTGAAGTATCACTTTGCTTCAGCTCCATAAAAATGTGGGCAAAGAACATGAACAGAAGAAACTTTTCAAGAGAAGACATACATGCAGCCAACAAGCAAATGAAAAAAAGTTCAACATCACTGATCATTAGAAAAATACAAATCCAAATCACAATGAGATACCACCTCACATCAATCAGAATGGCTATTATTAAAAAGTCAAAAAAATAACAGATGCTGGCGAGGTTGTGGAGAAAAAGGAACACTTATATCCTGTTGGACTGTAAATTAGTTCTGCCATTGCAGAAGACAATGTGGCAATTACTCAAAGACCTAAAGACAGAAATACCATTTGATCTAGCAATCCCATTACTGGGTATATACCCAAAGGAATATAAAACATTCTATTTTAAAGACACATGCACGTGAATGTTCAATTGCAGCACTATTCACAATAACAAAGACATGAAATCAACCTAAATGCCCATATATGATGGACTTGACAAAGAAAATGTGGTACATATACACCATGGAATACTATGCAGCCACAAAAAAAGAATGAGATGATGTCCTTTGCAAGGACATGGCTGGAGCTGGAGGCCATTAGCCTTAACAAAATAACATAGGAACAGAAAGCCAAATACTACATGCGCTCACTTATAAGTGGGAGCTAAATGATGAGAACGTATGGACACACAGAGGGGAACAACACACCCTGGGGCCTTTCGGAGGGTAGAGGGTGGCAGGAGGGAGAATATTAGGGAAAACAATGAATGAATACTAGGCTTAATACCTGGGTGACAAAATAATCTGTACAATAAACTTCCATGACACAAGTTTACCTATGTAACAGACCTGCACTTGTATCCATGAACTTAAAATAAAAGTTAAAAAAAAAAAAAGAAATATCACTTGGTTTCATTGATTTTGTTTTCCCATGATTTTATTGTTTCATTGATTTTTTTCTAGTGTTTTGCTGTTTTCATTTTCATTGATTTCTGCTGTTATCTTTATAATTTTCTTCTGTTCGCTTGCTTTGGATTTATTTTGATATTTGTCTAGGCTCTTGAGGTGAAGACTAGATTATTAGTTTGAGACTTCTTCTCTTTCCTAATGTATATAGTCTGTGCTTTAAATTTCCCTATTAGTACTATTTTAGTGTATCTCAAAAGTTTTAATGGGTTGTATTTTCACTTCCACTCAGTCAATGTACTTTGTTAATTTTCTTGAGACTCACTTTAACCAAAAGAGTATTTAGGAGTATGTTGTTCAGTTCCCATAGTTGGTGAACACTTTGTGTGATTTCAATTTTTTTTAATTCGTTAAGTATTGTTTTATGGCCATTAGTGTGGTATACCTTGGAATACCTTCTGTGGGCACTGAAAAATAATGTGTATTCTGCTGTTGTCAGAAATATTCTATAAAATTTGATTAGATTCTGTTGGATGACGGTGTTCTTGAGTTCTGTATTGTTGTTGATTATTCCAGTTGTTCTGTTAAGACAGGTGTGTTGAAGTCTCTAACTGTAACTGTGGATTTTTCTCTCTGTTCCATCAGGTTTGCTACGCATATTTTGTAGTTATCTTGTTTGGTGCATATACATATAGGATTATGATATCTTCTTGTTGGATTGACCCTTTTATTACTACATAATGCCTTTCTATGTCCCTGTAGGTTTCTTTACTTTGAGGTCTAATTCATATGATATTAATGCAGCCAGTGCTGGTTTTTGATTAGTATTTGTATGAAATGTTTTTTCCATTGCTTATTTTAACCCGCATTTACATTATATTTGAAACGAATTTTTGTAAACAACATGTAGTTGAGTCACATCATTAATTTACTCTGATAATTTATTTTACTTAGTGTATTAAGACTGTTTACAGTTAATTTGGTTAGGGTCTCTGTTTACCATTTTATTTCTATGTATTCTGATCTATTTTTCCTTCTTCTGTTTTCTTTTTCTGACCTTTCTATATATAATGACATTTTAGAATTCTATTTTGATGTATTTATATTTTTCAATCTCTTTGTATAATATTTTATTGATTCCTTTAAATATTTTATTTTATATACATGACTTTTCACAATCTGTTGGTGCTCTTATTTTACCAATTTAAGTGAAATGTAGGAACTTTTCCTCCTTTATATCTCTTAAGCCTCCCTCATTTATAATATAATTACCTTAAATATTTCTCTTACATATATTTAGAATTATATTACATCATTTTATAATTTTTCTCCTCCAATCATTAAACATAATTCAGAAACTCAAGAGTAGAAAGACTACTGTATTAACCATTTTTTGCTGTGTTCTTTAATCCTTCCTAATATTAAGATTTCTTCTATCTTTCATTTTCTGTTTAGAATACCATTCACCATTATTTTAACATGTGCCTGTTTTTACTCCTTTGAAAATGTGTTGATTTCCCCTTAATTCCTCAAAGATATTTTTTCCATATGTAGAATTCCTGACAGTTCTTTCCCTTCCAAACTTAGAAAATAGTGGGCCACTTCTTTCTGGACTCCATGGTTTCCAAGGAGACATTCACTGTCATTTAAATATACATGTGAATGTATTTATGTATATATACCAATCCCTATAACAAATTCTTATGTATATAATTAAACCAAGAGTGGTTCCAAATAAACAGAAATTTAAGACTGCGTCTCCAGAACTGATATTTACCTATATAGAATTGATTCTCTGTACTGTTTAGATTTAGTTACTAATGACTCTTCCTAGTAGTAAGTGCAGTACATTGCACGCCACAGCAAACAAGTATATAAATATCATCCATAGACATCTGTAATTTAGTACCAATATAAGGAAAGGCTTTGGGTGACTAAGCATTTGCTGCTATAGAACAGCTTACTGAAAACAAGATGTAAAATAAGACTGGTTGGTTGTTTCTAAGTGTTCTAGATAAGTTGGAGAAAAAATAATTAGATCAGATACTTAAATTACTGGCACATGGCCCACAAGTGTCTTTATTCTAATGTTCAGGATCCTGCTCCTTCCCAATCAATCCCCTAACTTTAACAAAAAGAACATTAAAGGATGGAAAATTCATTTGTGGTAATCCAGATATATGCAGGATAAAACATGTTTGCTTTCAAAAATGGAGTCTTTTTTTCTCTACCATCAGAAGTGTTTTGGTTTCAGCTAGAAAGGCTAGCAATATACCTTGATTAAAACAATACAAAGATATATGAATGAAGTCTCAGCCCTGTATTATAATCTTTAAGGAATCTGATTAACTTTTCATTGTACAGCATCATGCTGGTTTCTGACATTGCTGATATGATGCTGAATGGACCTAGACTGATACAGTCTGCTTAAGCTTTTCATGTCTAATGGGGTTCACCTGGTAGAATGTTTTCCTAGGAAGTTGTCCATTTTATTTAGGTTTTCAGATTTATTTGCATAGTTTCATTTTGTTCTATTTGTTTCAATAGTTGTGTTCATTGTTATTTCTCATTTTGTATATTTCTATACTTGTTTTTTCTTAGTTATTGTCTAATTTTTTTCAAAACATGCATATTTTTATTATATATATCTACTGTTTTTTAATACCCTACCTTCTTGATTTTTGTTTATATCTTTATCATTTACTTCTTTTGTTTTATTTTCATTTATTCTTGTTCCTTTTCTAGTATTTAATGAGAATATATTTTTTATTCACTTATTTGCATTTCTTAGTCCTTATTGATAAATATGATTAATTATAGAAGTCTTCCTTTTATTACTGCTTTAACATATAGATTCTTATGTGTAGTGTTTATGTTACCTTTTATAAATTACATATTCAGAAGTTATTTTCCCTTTCTACCAAGTTAGTTTAATAGAAAATTTTATTTAATGTCCAAATGGAGGAGCTCTTATAAACTTTTTTTTTCTGAGATGGAGTCTCACTCTGTTGCCCAGGCTGAAGTGCAGTGGCGTGATCTTGGCTCACTGCAACTTCCACCTCCTGGGTTCAAGAAATTCTCCCGTGTTAGCCTCCCAAGAAGCTGGAATTACAGGTGCCTGCCACCATACCTGGCTAACTTTTGTATTTTCAGTAGAGACAGGGTTTCACCATGTTGGTCAGGCTGGTCTTGAACTCCTGACCTTAAGTGATCCACCCACCTCGGCCTCCCAAAGTGTTGGAATTATAGGCATGAGCCACCGTGCCCAGCCTAAACTTTTTAATTTTTTCTTGCACTAGGATCAAATACTTGTTTAAAATATTTGTACCTCATGAAATTTACGGACACATTCTTTGTGACCTAACATATTATCAAGTTTTGTGAATATTCCATATACACTTGAAGAAAAAGCGTATTCATTATTGTCAGAGGGCAAATTTCATATATATATATAAATATATTCTAAAAGATATATCATTAATTTCATTAGTTTGGTCTTTTAAAACTTACTTTTGTTAACTTGATATCTCTTATGGTGAACAGCATTATTCTATTATTGGTGTGGTTATATATGTATCTTCTTGAATCTACTGTGGTTTTTAACTTATCAAGATAGTTACTATGTTATTTTGTGTATGAACATATATAACTATTATATGATTGTTAAAATTGCAATAATCTGTATTAAGACTGTCCTTTTTCACACTGAATTCTATATTGGATATTACGATTACAACCTATGTAATATATATGTATATAAAAAACCTTGTTTTTTATATCTGTCTAATATATTTTACATTTGCCCTTCTTTTTATTATTAGCCTGAGGTGTGTCTTAGCCTTTAGTTAGTTTTGCTTTTAGATTCAAATTGAAAACATTTTTTAGTTTAAAATATGAGTTAATTCCAATCACCTACATTGATGTGACCTTATATTTTAGCTCAACTCCATCATGTTACTTTATGTTATACTTTTTATGAGCATTAAGGCATATTTGCCGTGTGTCTCTACATCTTCTGTTCTCTTTACTCTTACACTTTTTTATATTTCTTTTAGCATATAAGAATGTTTTCATTGTTGTTCTAGTTGTTATCTTTGTATATATTCCTTATTTAAATGCCCTTAGTCTACTGCTTTTCTTTTTTACTAACTTATTTGCTAATTTTTGATGGTGTCTTTAACTTCCATTATTGCCTATGTAATCTATCAATGAGCTTATTCTGTTGCTTCTTTCACTCTCCTTTTCTTACAATTTTTATTTGCATTATTTCTATTTCACCCGACTATATAACATTTATATGACATGCTTTCCTCTTTGTCTTCACATTTACTTTAGACTTAGGCCTATGTTTAAATATTAAGTGCTCCCCATCAGGCCCCTGCCTATCTTTCCAGCTTCATTTTATATGACCCATTTTTTGCTGTGTTTCATCCTAAGAGGTCTGCTATCTGTTCCACAGCCACCACACCACTGTTATGCTCTGATTGGCACGAATTAATTATGTTATAATGTTTATCACTATCTGAAATCATCTCATTTGTTTGTTTATTGTTTATTTCCCACCCCTCTTCTTCAAGATTCCATCTTCATATGAGCATAGTCTTATCTTCCCTGTCTGTTTCATTTCCAAGGTCTTGATACATGGACAGCCAAAAGGCTGTCCCAAAAAGAAATTCAAGCCCATGAATCAATCCTGCTGCATTTTATTCTCTTATACTAAGGAAGTATGAGAAGAATAGTCCCAGAGATTTTAAGTGTGCTATACTTTAAAGAGAGAGCTAAATTGTATATAGGAGAACTTCCAACATTCAGAAACCAACACAGAAAAGTGCATCATTTATCCAATCACTTCTATTCAAGAGATCCAATAATGTAACATACGTGAACAAATTTGATAATGATACAAATTTATGACAATATTGTTTTTAAACAAAGTTTCTACTTCTGAGTAACTAAAGTATAGAAAAGAAGTCCAAGTTAATGGCTTTAATTTAAAAAATTGGTACTTGGAGAAATGAAGTGGTAAATTTACTAAGTGACAATTTAGCCAAAGTGTATTGGGGGAATAGAAAAAAAGAAAACTAAGAGAGGCTGAGTAAAGCCTAAGGAACAGCAAATACATTCAGGGAAGTGTAGCTCTCAAAGGCCTGTCACAGTAAGAATGAAGGGATCTTTAACATTTGCCCTTGTCCACAATTATGACTACATCAAAATGTGTACTGGTTGCAATATAAGAAATAGTAAATGATATAAGCCTATGACTGTGTTTCTATTTTAAAGTCACTACATTATGCAAAGTAGTCATTATTGGTGAATAGTATACATTTCTACATAGCTATAAATCTGGCCAAAATTCCCTATGTGACAACTATGTCTTCTGATCTTTGTAACTCCTGGGCCAAGCATACACCCTGATACCCTGTCAGGTTTTAATAAATAAATAGCAAGCAAATAAATTAAATGTTATTAATGAGTATCAACTACTACTAAAAGTTAATGAATAAATAATTGTGTCACACTATTTAACCTTATTTTCTCTAACGATGTTTTATCAAATCTAATATGATTTGCCTAAAATAAGTTGTAGATTCAACTCCTTACAAACCATGTATTTTTGCCTATATGTGCATTCTTTCAAGAGCCTACTTTAGAAAGCAAGCAATTATATTCTAGCTTTATTCTATTGTGGCTACAGACCTGTATATCTAGATATCTGTATATCTAGAACCCACTATTGCACAGCTCAAAAGGATTAGCTGAATTTTAAAATTCAGTACATTTGTAGAAACTGATTTAAAAGAGGGACCAATAAATGAAATAAAGATTTGAAAAGCTATGCAAGACAATATTGCTTATAATACAAACTGTTGCACAAGCAGCAGGATAAAGATTTTAATTCATGGCTAAAACTATCAAGAAAGGAAAGGCAAAGGGGAGTTAAATTCTATTAAATAAAATGAAAATTAAGAAAACTTGGCTTGCCCTTGTAATGAAAATGTTTAGAGAAGATTCTTTAGAAAGGAATTAAAACTGTCAATTCCCTAGAATATTTATGAGCTATAACTACACAATCAGTGAACTGAGTTCATGAAGTCCAAAAAGTGAAATTTCATTAAATAAGTAGTAGTTATTAATTTAAATGGTATTAGTACCATAATTAAATATTACCTTATTTTTTACGTTACCTACATTGAATTCTAAATAGTACTTTCCAAAAATGAGCATAAAAAAAGCTTTTCTGTTTTAGGTGTATCTGATATATAGATAGGTCTATAACATAATATAAAGTAACATACAAATTTTAACTTACCTTTTGAAATATGTACAACTTTGAGGACAAGAGTTGTGTTTTATTAAACTTTTTATCCCTCCAAACACCCAACACAAGATCCTGAACATAATTAGGTACAAAGTAAGTAATATCAACATTTGTAGTAAAAAATGAAGAATGAAGATTAGACTCCTAAAATTTATTAGAACATATTATCTTGTCTGCTTTTAGATATGTATTTACCACTTACATGGTTTACATGGTAATCTCCTGGAATGAAAAAGCTTGCATTATACTAAATAAATTCAATGGACATGATTATTTCAGAGAAGACAATGATAAAGCATGATGCTTGATTCAGAACAGGCAATATTACAAAGGATATTTGTATCAGTATGTAAGTCATTCTAAGCATGTTTTAAGTAAAGTTAATTAAGAACACAAATAGCAAATTTAAATAATTGTGAAGGAAACAGATGACACTAATAATAAAGGAACGTTTTAAAAGCCTGGGAACTTTAATTAAATGTAAAACAAACTTGGAGCTATGTACATATAAGATACAAATATAGATTCAATTACTTGTCATTAGACATTAGAAAATCACTATTACTTATTTGCCTACATTGTCCATTTATTTTCTGAATACATGTTCTAATATATACAATTTTGTTGAAAATTATCTTTCAAAATAATAGGTATTATCTCATTTTCTAAAAGCTTATTATACCTGGCTAATGTAAGCCAAGTGTAAGAAGTGGTGGTTAGCACCAAATATACAAATTCCAGCGTCTAAATTGAATCATGTGACTGAGCATGGTGGCTCATGGGATCACCTGAGCTCTGGAGTTTGGGACCAGACTGGGCAACATGGTGAGACCCCATCTCTACCAAAAAAAAAAAAAAAATTGCTAGGTGTGGTGGTGCATGCCTGTGTTCCAGCTACTCAGGAGTCTGAAGTGGGAGGATCACTTGAGCCCAGGGCGTGGAGGTTGCAGTGAGTCAAGATTGCACTACTGCACTCCAGCCTGGGTGACAGAGTGAGATCCTGTCTCAAAAATAAACGAATAAATAAATTGAATCTCGTAGAGTGAGCTCATTTTTTTTTCCATTTATATATGAATTAGTTACTAGCCATGAGTAATAGAATACCAAATAAAAAAACTTATACAATGAGAAAAATTTAATTTCCCATATAAGGAAAATTCTAGAGGCTAGGGATTTCTAGATTTAGTTAATATAATAGCTCAAAGATGCCAGGGTTCTGGCTCTTCTCCACAGTTCTCCCAACTTTCTTCATAATTGCAAGATAGCAGCAGAAATTCCAACCATTACCCGACAACCCATGTTCCAAAGGAAATATAAACTTTTCAGGGTAGGAAATATTTCACAGAAACTCCCTGGCAGATTTTCTTAGTCCAGAGTTGTGTCCCATATCTTTGCTTAAATCAGTGATTGACAACATACAGAATTTCCAGGATTTACTTAAACTTATCAACATTTGCCCTCTGGGGCTAGTTAAAAGGGTTCACCTTCCATAAATGCATAAAAGCAAACAAACTAATAAAAAACAGACTCTGCTGGCAAGAAATAAGGCTGTTAAGGATATTGAGGAGACCACAGACAAAATAATTTCTCAACAATATACACTTAAAATTGATTTCCCTCTAATATTTAATTTTCAGAATTATATAGACCTTTTCAAAGACTGGATTTTAGAAGACAGAATTGTTTTCCTGTACAGCTTTCTAGGTTTTACTTCTATAGCCATGTCTCATAGGTAGAGGGTTGTCCTCAGCCTAGTATCTCATGCTTTTGCAGACCCACTTGCCATGTTTATTCCTGCCCAGAATCTCATTTCTACCTTGTCTCTTCAAAACACAACATAACTATGTTGTAAGACACAAATGAAGTAACATATCTTTCATAAAGTCTTCCTCTCATTTATTTTCATAACGTTTACTGTAATGCTTATTTAAAAATTTAATAGTATGGAAGTGTTACACAGTCAATGATCAAGTAGTATGTGAATGTTTTGTCACTGTCCTTATTCACTCTGATTTTCTAACCTCAGACAACTGGCTGCTGTTAACTGGTGTTTATCAGTTCATTACTTTTCTGTACAAGTCCATACTTACATGTTGTTTGCTCTGTGGCATTAATGAGATTATACACTACATATTGTAATTTGACCTGAGCTTTAACTTGACTATATCTTGGTATTTCCAACTTCAGTATATATGTATCTACTCAAATATTTTTAGTGTCTGAATAGCATATGATTTACCATAATTAATTTAATCTTCCATAATTGAGTAACTTTTAAATTGTTTGCCATTTTGCTCTTATGAAAAGTGACAATGAACATCTGCATGTGATTCCCCAGAACAGACTCCTAACAATGAAATGTTTGGGTCAAAGGGTATATTGCTGCAAATTTTTTAAAATTTCCCATCAAAATACTAGTTCCATTTTACTTATATTTAACCAATATATGACTGCTTAATTACTTGCATCTATATCAAATTAGATATTACCAATCATTTATATAACATCATTGTTATTGTATTTTAATTACTGTCATTACTAGTAAGATATCTTTCTATTTTATTTTCAAAATCAAATAGAACTTAGTATTAACTAAGAACTGTCCTTGCATTACATTTCTCATAAATCATATAATCTATATGACAATTTTATGAGTAGATACTAATATGATCACCAATTCAGAGAAGAGGATTAGGCAAAAAGAGATCACTTCCCAGGGTCACATGATCGGACTTGGAAAAGCCAGGATTTTAACCCAGATAGCTTGGATGCAAAGCTCAACCAGTATTAAAGTACACTCTTCTGTATTTTCTTCTGAAATGGATATGTTTTTTAAAATTTTAATTCTTAGTTTATTCCTCTATCTAGAATATATTCTTTGTATTTCTGAGGTAAATTTTCTTTACTTTAAAATACATAGCTTTAAAATTGCCCAAACAGCAGTAAAATGCCCATTTTATCATTGATTCCACATCTATAATGGTGCCTGGGAAATCTGTGTAGGAATCTTGGACTTAGAGCCTTCCGTAAAAACTTCTTTCTCAATAGATTTTAAATGTAATTTTTATTATAAATAAATATATATGCTTATGGCTATTCTACTTGTTTATGACTATGCCAATCCACATGATTTTAGTTATAAATTCATTTTATAGTATGCACTAAGGAAAAGCTACTTTCATTACCCACTGGCAAACTGTGTTTTCCACTAGTTTTTAACTGTTTATGGATTTTCTTTCGGATACATTTAAAAATAAAAAATTTCAAGTCTATTAAAAACAACTATTAGGAATTTGATTGAAGGAAACTGGCATCTTTTCAATACTGTTAATCTCAACTCGTCATTCTACCTTGTTTGAGTTTTTTAAAAGACATTATTAACTTCATAGAAATTCAACATATTTCTTGTTCCACTTACTTCTTATGTTGTATGGGCAGTTTGGTGGTAATTGTCTATTTTTTATTGATAGTTTTCTGATTTTACCTTGCAGTTTTTATTGTTTATATATGTATTCTTCTTTGAAATATATTATAGACTAAGCTCACAGTCGTCACACCCAAAGAACAAGGAAGCTAAAATATTTATCCATCAACTCTCATTCACTAGTTCAGAACACTTACAAAGGCATCGATTCCAGAATTTTTGTCTGCCCTAGGCAAGGGCAAGTGCCAGATGTCCTCAAAGTGTAGACACTGACAGTAAGACAGTAAGAGCTTTAAGAGCTGAATGCATGGAAGAGGGGACACCAACGGGATATAACTGGGGCATCTCCAGTATCTGCCACAATAAATGTTTATAATTGATTTCAGCTAATTCAGCTCTTCACAACTTGAAGGTTTTTTTATTTTTATTTTTGTTAGATATCTGTGACTTCAAAGCAGTACCTTCCTAGACCTATGCAAGAGAAGCACCATTCCTGAAACTTGCTCCTTAGAGAGACTCACATATCAAGGATGCCATTTAGGTCTCACAGAAATGCTTTCTCCTCTTTCTTACCCAAAATTCTCACATCAAAAAGCAGTACTATCTTAATCCTGTGAAGATCTGTGGGCTCTGCTGCTGTCAATCCATGATTAAAAGTACTTATGAGTGTGAAGAGGATTTGAGTAGTAAAAACACTTCACTAAGAGAAAAGGCAACTTAGTCAATTTATTACATTCTTCTTCTCAGATGACATTAATAAATAGTGTTTCAGTGTTGTCAAGGTAGAAGGAAAAACATAATTTAAAGTTTGCCAACTTGATTTATAATTTTAAACCTTTAAAGCTATGGTATGTGGGCCTCCATTTGTACCCCTAACCTGGGTTTATACATATTAAATGATAAGATATAATAAATGAAACTTAGAACGAATTCTGGCATATTTACATAACATTTAGTAGTAAGCAGGCACAAAAGTGTCATATAATCTGTTCTATCATTAGCAGTGGTGAATCCAACAGGTCTGTAGCAAACATGATTCTTGCCTCCTTGGAGGAAAAATTTCAGCTGAGAGGCACAAGACAGAAGGAAAGACCAAGGCAAGTTTTAGAGCAGGAGTGAACATTTTTTTTCAAGTTTTTGAGTAGGAACAAAAGGAAGTAAAGTAAACTTGGAAGAGAGTCAAGCAGATGACTTGAGAGATCCAAGTACCCAGTCAGACCCTTGACATGGAGTTTTTACACATTGGAATGGTTCCAGGGTTTGTGTGTCTCCTCCCTTGAGTTTTCCTTGGGGCAGGCAGGATGCACGCACAGTGGCCTGCCAGCACTTAGGAGGCGCTACGTGTGAAATGTGTATGTGTTTACTGAAGTTGTGCACATGCTCATTTGAGGTATTTTTTCCCTTACCAGTCCAGTGTTCCTAAAGGAAGTTCATATACCAGTTAAACTCTGCCATTTTGCCTCTTAGTGTACATGCTGAGGCTGCTCACCCAACTCCTGAGATCTTATTAGGAAGCCGCTGATAACCAGCATCAGGTGTTTTCCACCTACTGAGAGTTTGCCTTTCCCTAGTGCCAGCTTCGACCAATTATTGTTTTAGACAGACAGTTTAACAACCCGCTGACCATCACGTGATGGTCACCTGACATTCCTGGGGAGGGGGTACCATCTCCTGCCCTGCTCATGTCTGCTTAGCTACCCACTCTAACACTATGAACTGGTGAGTTCTGAGGTTTAGGCATTCCAGGAAGGACCTACATGAAAAGCTCGTCTGAGGCATATTCGATACTACCTTAGTGTCAGGATTCTGTTAATCTAATCAGAGTCAGGGCAGAATTATCTATAGGTGGCCTTGCACAAGACCAGTACAAATTCCAAGCCTAGGATATTATCCAGCCAGGTCCTTTCTTCCATTAATACAAGAGCTGAGCTGCCTATTTTGTCTAGGCCATCAAGGACTTCTACCATTCCTTATGAAAAATAATCAACTCTCTAAGGCAGATTAAAGTAGAATTATTTAAAGCTCCTCTCTGTTAACTTTCTCTGGTGTGTGAATTCTTAATTCAGGTATTTAAAATGCTAACTATCTAACCCTGAATTATATATTCTTGATTGGGGTACTTGTCCTAGTGTATAGATTAAAACTTACACACATAGCATTGTATACATTGAAACACTATAATGGAAATTAAATGTAGTATAATGCACTGTTATGGAAGGTCTTGCCCTGGTTTTGCTGAAAGTTCTATGGGAGAACTGGGGCCTGGAAGCCTAGAGCAGGCACAAAGCTTTATGCCTCCTTTCTCATTCCACGGTCCCCTTCCCATTCTGTCATAGGCTTTTCAGGTCTAGAACAGTTCATGGAGAATCTGGGTAGGAATGTCAACCAGGAGCCATCTGTAAAGCTATCAAAATTGGCTGCCTTTATGTCAACATCAGACTGCTAACATATGTGACCTTTAAGATCCATTTGTGCTTGCTCTCAGCAGGATTGTAAAGATGTTCTTAACATTCAAGAATGGAATGAATGCTGACTTTTAACCTTCTTTACTCTCCCCCAGTTGAAGCTGAGAAAAAGTTTTTACAATTTGAATGTCAGGCTTTTTCTTTTCTTTCTTTTTTTTTTTGTTGAGACAGATTAAGGAGAAACAGAGCTTTAGAACTACTTTCTCTTCCAAGGCCTCCAGGAGTTTGGCTGACAGCCCTAATGCCCACAGCAAGTCAAAAAGAATAACTGCACATTTGGTTCTTTGCAGAGCCCATTACCTTTAGGTCCCCTGCCCTTCCTCCAGGGGTTTTCTTGGCTAGGACTTAAACAAAGGATTGTGAAAGAAATATCAACCCAGTGAGCTTTTTCTAAACTTCCCACACCCCTTTCCATTTATAGCCAATGCCCTCTGAGCAGAGCAAGGCCATATAGAGCAGAGCCTATGCCAGACTTCAAGACAGCAGCACTTCTGCATGAGATGCAATGAACAAAGAAAGAGGAAATTTTATCTTCTAGTTCACTGGCCTGGCTTGGCTTTTACAGTGCAGCATTCTCAAGTAAAGTATCTAAAACACTCCAAAAAAAAAGAGCATCCTGTGCTTTTTCTAACATTTCCCATCTACACTCTGCTTTCCTAAACCTAGATGTCATAAACTGTGGAGAGAAGTATAAAAGGGATTCATTCAAGACCTGTCCCCAGGGGTCCCGTCACAATTCTGTGCCATGTGCTTGTAATCAGCAGTCGCTCCAGAGAATGAAGACTCAGATCCCTTGGATTCTTCTGCCTGGCCTTTTAGAAGCCCACTGGTCTATGCCCTGCCCTTCGCTGAAGGCACCTCAAGCTTATTGAAATGTTGGCCAGCCATGACTTTTAACCACTCCCAGAATTCTTTGTTACAGGATTACTCACATCCCTGAGGCCATGGATGGAATAACTGATCTGTAAACAAAAGGGAAACAACTGCCAACTCCTGGATCCAATAATAAGGATTACACTGTGGAACCTTGGGGATTGTGAGACTCTTAAATACTAAATTCCATAGTCAGGAATGGGGAATGCCCCAATTTGGGGCTTTTTGGTGTCTCCATCATGGGTTGTGTGCCGTGTTTCTTGTTCCTGATGTTTTATTATGTCAACCACAAAAAAAAAAAAAAAAAAAAAAAACCCAAAAAACATTGCATGCCTCTGCAGTAGTCATCCTTCCTTTATTTTCATCCTTCCCTCTCAGATTTTCCCAGGCTTCTGGCTGATTCTGCAAGAGAAGGCTAGAGCCTGGAGGTTTCCCATATCAAGAACATTTTCAGAATCCTTAGCACTGGGACTTTAAGGATTCAAAACAAATGGATGTCCCTTGAGATAAATGGCTCCATCCCCCCATTTCTTTTCTGCCTTGGCCCTTAAGGGGCAATATAGACCACATAGCTTAAATGAGGCAAAATAGAAATAATCACCTATTTTAAATGGAGAACATACATATATATCTCATGAGGAAACTGAATGATTAAGCCTCCCCATGTTATCTAGGAACTAGATAATGTTTTTTTGTTTTCTGCAAGTGATTCTGAGTAACTGGTACTAGGACGTAAGTTTCCTTGTGAAACAAGACAAGGTAGTTTTTTTCTTATTTGAGGTAGGAAAGGATGGTATTGGTGGGTTGAAGAAGTTGGGGAAGCACAGGCCAGCAAGAACTTGTAAGGCAGGACAGGGAAGCCTGTGTACTCAACCTCTGCCATGATACCTAAGAAAGTTAAGGAAAAACAAAATCATCCTCTCTAAAATACTGGGAATTGTGGACCTAAAAAAAATTAAACACATGGGCACACTCTGTCCCTCCTCTGCCTGTATCAGATCAGAAACAGAACTCACAGAAAGCAGCACGAGAGGACCCAGGAGCAGGCTCTTCTCTTCCCAAAAATTTACCTTCCCACATTTTCCTACCTTTTGGAAGCCTAAAGTTACTCTCTTCTTAGGCTTGTCACTATATAGTATTTATGGCTGTTTGTTAAAATACTGTTTAAGCAAGGCCCCTAAGTCATTGCCTTGAGAGAGAAATACTTCTGAACTGAGGCCTCTGCCATGTAATGAGTACAACATGCATTAATAAACTTCTGTTTGCTTTTCTTTGGTTAATCTGACTTTTGTTTTAAAGAAAATGTCTCAATGAAGATCCTAAAAAGAGAAAGAAAAGAAATTATATTTTCTGTGCTTTCCCTTAAAAGGCATTGAAATCGCAGCCAAGAAAAAATGTCAAATATGGGACAAAATAAAAGACTCCTTCAAGGGACATTGTTGTGATGCTCAGTCTTACTTGAGCTTGAGTCTTCTCTTACTGACTGTCCAGCCTTCATTCCAGTAAGAACACACAATCACATCCATCCAGGGTCTATCACAATTGATCATCTCATCCACACTAACAAATCTCTAACTCCCCATCAATGGCCTAGTAGGAGTAACATTTATCTGTATCACAAAATTTTGCTCAGACCCAACATAGATAATCCCCAGAAAGCCCTAAAACATCCATATGCATCAAGACTGTAACTGTGTAATAGTGCATTTAAGATTAGGTTTGGAGAATGGAACTATCAAGCTGGAGACCAATCAGCTGGGAGGTGATTTGTAACATCTCCACTGACATGCATATAATTTAGAGACATGCCTTTCACTCTCCCTGTATCTTAGCTCCATAATCTGGCAATAAAACAGATCTCTGTTCCAAACACACAGGTCTCCAAGGACCTCAAAAAGTTTTGTATCTTTAATAGGTCTTTAGAGCTCCACTACGAAGGGGTTTCATAAACATTATGGACTCAGAGCTGCCTCGAAAATGAACCTTTAGAAATAAATGCAATTTGCATTCTACCATTTTAGAATGCCTAGATCCAGCCTCCTCTTGCACAGGAACGTAGGAGGAGACATAATTGAGAAGCTGCTTGTAGCACAAACTGACTATTGCACATCAAGGCATAATGCCTATGTTCCAAGAAAGAAAAGGGAGAAGTATAAGACTTTTCCAACTGACTCTTTCCCCTTTGTATCATTATAGGATTATGCTGTAGAAGGCATTGAGTATCAGACAGAGACTGGAGGAAGGGGTATTAAAAGCTTTGAGCAAGGGGATAACTTAGGTTAAAAAAAAGAGGGCAAAGGATCCACATGCAAAAAGAAAAATAGAATTCCTAAAGTGTGTAAAGGAATAAAACTTTAAAATAATTTGTTTTACTGAGTGAAAGAAAAAGAAACAAAACCCAAAGGACCCTATAATTCATTTCAAATATGATATAGTTCACAGGGAGAGTTTTATAAAATAATGAAGCATATAATGATTTTTTTAAATCAGGGCACATGGCATGCAAGCATTATTGAAATTGGGCTATACTGGAAAACGTATGTATAGTTATAGACAAAGTGTGTTTCACTTCTCCATAGAGAAGAAATACCTGGAAGATAAAGACATTCATGACTATATGAACATTCAAATCCTTTCAAATCTTATTTTGTCTAAAAGACGGTAAATCCTTGTTAATAATAAGAGACAGAATGTATAAAATTATAAAATCTGCATTAAATTTTTAATATGGATAGATCAATTATTATCTATATTAACCTATGAAATTTGTGTTCATTTTTTATAAAATAGGAAGAAGTTCAACTTACCATTTTTGTTCCTAAACTTGCCTACCAGGAAACCTGCTAACTGAAAAAAAGGTTTCACTATTTTGCTTCCAGCCAGGAAAATTCAAATAAAATTTGAGGAGACAGAAATTTGAGTTATAGGACTGTCACTGTAAGACTTTACTGGTTAATTTTTTTATCGACTTTTTTTTTTAGGTCTGGGGGTACACGTTCAGGCTTGTTAACATGGCTAAGTTGCATGTACTGGGGTTTGGGGTATGAATGATCCTGTCATCCAGCTAGTGAGCATAGTACCTGATAGGTGGCATTTCAACCCTTGCTAGCCCCTAGTAATCCTCAGTATCTATTGTTCTCATCTTTGTGTCTGTGTGTACTCAATATTTAGCTCCCATTTGTAAGTGAGAATATGCAGTATTTGGTTTTCTGTTTCTGCATTAATTTGCTTAGGATAATGGTCTCCATCTGCATCTATGTTGCTGCAGAGGGAATGATTTCATTCTTTTTTATGGCTGTGTAGTATCTATGGTACCACATTTTCTTTTTCCATTCCTCTGTTGCTGAGCATCTTGGTTGATCCCATGTCTTTGCTATCATAAATAATGCTGTGATGAACATAAGTGTATGTGTCTTTTTGGTAGAATGATTTAATTTCCTTTGGGTATATTCCCAGTAATGAGATTGCTGGATCAAATGGTAGTTCTATGTTCTTTGAGAAAACTCCAAAGTGCTTTCTACAGTGGCTGAACTAATTTACACTCCCACCAACAGCGCGTAAACATTCCTTTTTCCTCCTTTTAAATATACATTTTAGTTATTTTGGAGTGTGTTTGGTTGCATGCAATAGAAACTTGAATCTAGTGGTTTGGCCATTTTTTTTCTTTCATAGGAAGAAATCAGAGGTAGATAACTCAGGATTGGCATGGGGGCCTCCCATCATGCCATTAAAGAGGGTTTGATGTATGTTATCTGCCATCTTTAATGTCTGGCTTTCATTCTTAGAGGACAGACTGGCTGGTGAACATCTAGGCACCATGCCTGAGTTCAAAGAAGGAAAAGGCAGAAAAGCAATGAATTTCCAATGAACTCTTACCTTTCATATCAAGAAATATTATAGACTTAGCCATAAAGGTGCTTTCATAGTTACAAAGGAGTATGGGGGGTAGGTAATTTTAGGTGGGCACGTTACCATATTGAGCAAAATTGGAGTTCTCTTGGTAAGGAAGAAAGGGAAAATAAATACTGGGTAGGCCACATGAAATATATCTCATATTACTTCTAAACATTTTAATTGATTATAAATTTTATTCAATTTTAACTTTTATTAGGAGTTCAAGGACTGCTACATCTTCTTTCAACAAAAATCCCTTTATGCGTCCCTTAATTCATCATTAAAATACAAGGATAAAATATAGGGCATATACCAAATAGTACATGGTTCTATATATGTTTGTGTGTATATTAGGCTGGGAGAAGACAAGAAAGGGTAAATGTAAACATATTTCTATATGGGTGATATGTGAACTATTTATCAAGTGCTAATCTGAGTTACATAATGAATGTCTCTGGTATGAAGGTGAGGAGGTAGTACACTGGTAAAGAAGCCTTCTAGATGAGATGACAGGTAAGATTTATTGTGTCTCCAAGGATTTGATATGATGTCTATAATGACATCTAGAACTGACTAGGAACACAAAGGAAGGAGAATTGAGCAGCCACTCACGGTGACTCTTTGCCTCCCAAATCTGACCTCAGAGAGCTGAACATTCACTATACGTTATTGATTAAATCTGCTTTTTAACTTTAATGTCAGACAAGAACAATATGAAAAAGTTACTTGATGACATTTGAACCAAGAGAGGTTTTTTTTTGTTATTTAACATTTTATTGATTTTATTTAAAATCAGACTATTGAGCTGTTTGGACAAGTGTCAGTGATGTTGAGATATAGAAAGACAATAACAAAAATTATAAAAACTATGGGTTAACAGGGTTACATTCATGAAAAAAATGCTAAATTCGAGTTTGTAAGGGAAAAAATATATTTCTTAAAAAAATTTATTTATATGATAGGCAGGTTATATTCCTTTCATGTCAAGCATTTGGAAAAGCAGAGACTGATCAAGGCATGAAATTCACCATATTCACTTCAATAAAGCCTAAAAGTTTTATAAGAAATACAGTTTGTAGATATTTTACAAGAGCACTGTCTGAGGCTTATGAACCATACACAGAGGCTTAGATCAAAGCCACAAGACATGTTGAGGTTTAGTTCCTGCTTGAGTTTATCCAGAAACAACGGAAACATGATATCATTTCACATCAGGGAATAAACTAAAGTGGAAACAGCACAGTTTCAGTGATGGGTTCAGTCTTTGGTCAGGTCACGCAAGAAAAGGAGGAGGAAAAGTAAATTGTTCTCCCACAAAACTATATTTTTCTTTGTAAAAAATTATCATCAAATTGTGATCTATAAGGTTAATGAGATATTACCAGAAGAAGAATATCCAGTAATTGAATGCATTATATGCAACGAGTTATTTGAGAGGGTTTTGTTTTCCTTTTCTTCCTAAGGCTCAGCTTTTGATATGAGAGTCTCAGGTTTCACATCAGGCCAGCGTGTATTGGTAGTGATTAAAAGTGTGAAGTCTTCTGGAAAGAAAGCAATGTAATCTCCAGTTTTTCCAGATAACTATGTAAAACCTAAAGGACTACTTTGATAATAAGCACATTTTGCCTCTCTCAACAAAAAAGGCAAAAACATTAGTTCTGCTTGCGCTTCCAATAAACAACAATTATATTGTGCATTTTAAAATTTTCATACATATTTTCACTTTAAACAAACATATTAGTGTTCATTGAAGATCAGGTCCACATTTTTTAAATGAAACATCACATTTGGATCTTCTTGATTCCTTCATAATTAAAATGAAAAAGAACAATACCTCACCGGTGGCAGATGTAGAATCAACACCCAAGATGTAGGGACCTAGAACCCACTGCTTAACTACTATGTTATTTGATCACTCATTAAATCAAGTTAATAGTTATTTATAAGTTAGTCAAACATATTTTTTTTTCTTTTTTAAGCTCTTAATTTTTTTTTTCTGATTATAAACTTATTAGATTGGGAATTAGGAGATATTCATTTTTTATTCTAACTTAACTGTAAAACATTGGGCCCCTAAACTATTTGAGCTTCATTTTTATTGTCTGCATAATGGAGTGGTTGGAATAAATGATCTATAAAGTCCCTCCTGCCCCCTAAATCCACTTGTTCATTAGGATCCCATTCTATAGGACATATCCATCTATTTCATTTGCCACCCTGTCCTTAATGCACACAACTTAAGCTTGGGTTGACAAGGAAGCAGGAAAAAGCAGGGCATTGAATACCCCTCTTTCTAAGTATTTGTCACATTTTGTGAAGTTGGTCAGAAAAAGAGCATTTTGTAACATTTCATGATGTCGGCCTGAAAGGCAGACTGGGTTCTACTTGGATAAATCTGCCATGTAATTAATGAGTCTTTATGTGCCATAAGAGATAAGAGAAAATATAAATAAAATGCAGTTTAGAAGATGTGGCTCTTGGATCTTGAAGAATTTGTAAGATTTAGATAAATGGAGTGGATAAAGAGAGGATTCCACATAAAGGCCACATTCTGGGAACAAATACAGAGGCAGGAATGAGAACCATGTGTTTGGAGGGAACTGAGAGAAGCTGGAAAATACTGAAATAATGTTTTCGTTTTTCCTAATCTTGAGAAATATTACAAGATGGCTAAGTTGAGGTTCAGTTGTAGAGTGTCTTAAATGTTGGTGATTAGTGATCAATTGCTGCATAACAAAGTACCATAAATTTAGTGGCTTAAAATAACATCCATTTATTATGTCACAGTTTCTGTAGGTTAGAAGTCTATGCATGGCTTAGCTGGATTCACTGCTTAGCATCATAGAGGCTGAAATTGAGCTTTTGGCTGGAACTACTATCTTATCTGAGACTCAGCGTCCTTTTTCAAGTTCATTCAGGTCATTGGCAGAATTTATTACCTTGTGATTGTATGACTGGCATCCCCATTTTCTTGCTGTCAGCCAGAGGTCTCTCTTAGCATCTAGAGGACTTCCATTTACAGACCCTCTAAAAACACGGGAATTTACTGTTTCTTAGAGGTCAGTGGGAGAGTGTCTCTCTGTCAGTCCACTTTCTTTTATTGGTTTCACTTGGTTATGCCAGGTCCACCCAAGATAATCTTCCTTTTTATGAACTCAATTGATTAGTAACCTAACTATGGAAGTGATATCACATTATATTCACTGGTCTGGCTCACATCAAGAAAAAGGGATTATATAGGGTATATACACCAGGGGATAAGAATCTTGGGGGCCATCTGAAAATATTGTCTATCATAATTGCACAGAAGAAACATTAACTATAATAGGATATAATTTAAATGTATTGCGTGTGAGATAATTTTATTATACATATAAAACATAGAGAGGCATACTACCATACAGTGTTTGAGGTTGATGCTGGATGTTATGTTTCTGCCTCTCAGATACTCCATAAGCTTGAAGCATTCCTTCTACCAAACACTTGTAGTATTTTCCCCTGATGGAACATAGCTGAATTCCCCTCTAGGAATTTCCTTCTGCCAAAAGGAGCTGCCTCACCTAAGAATACACTTCATCTTCAGGGCAGGCTACATGCAATGACTAGTCTAAATAGGAAGCATAAATTCCCCTAATTATAAACATTTCTGTAAGTATATTCCAGCTATAGAGTTCCCTATAGAATCATTTGAGGTCTCGGTTGCAATAAAAACCCAGTGCCTAATCCTGCTTTCCTATTACTTAACAGTTTTTGTTGCTGCAAATTTCCAATACAAAGTCTATTTCCACAGGGATTTGACCTATGGAAATTAAAACAGAGAGTGGTCCTACACGGCAAACTCTAAAATGAGATTTTTGAGCAAGATCACTTTTGACAGGTTGACAATCAGGATTAATCACTGCAGATGTGTAGAATACTGATAGAACCTGTCTGGGTTCTAATGCAGTAGAACCCAGTGCAGCAGAATTAATAAAACTAATAACCAATAGGCTATTGGTTAGTCTATAACTAAACTAATAGAACAATAGTCTATAACTAACTAATAACTAATAGGACTAATAACCCAGTAGAACTGCATTCTAATGCAGTAGAACTGGTTGCTAATGCAGTAGCAGTGCAATTGATAAAAGTAGTGAAATGTAATTGGATACCTGTGGAAAGGAATACACTGGAGATACAGTTTGAATTTTTGTTCCCCCCAAATCTCATGTTGAAATGTGATCTCCAATGTTGGAGGTGGGGTCTGGTGGGAAGAGTTTGAGTCATGGGGGTAATCACTAGCAAAGGGCTTGGTGCCATCCTTGCAGTAATGAATGACTTCTTACTGTATTATTTCTCATGAGATATGATTGTTAAAAAGAGCCTGACACCTCCCTCCTCTTGATTTCCTCTTCTCTTACCATGTGATGCCTGTTCCCCTTCCCTTTCTGTCACGAGTGAAAGCTTCCTGATGCCCTTGCCAGAAGCAAATGCTGGTACCATGCTTCTTGTTCAGTCTGCAGAACCATGAGCCAATTAAACATCTTTTCTTGATAAATTACCTAGCCTCAGGTATTTCCTGTATAGCCACACAAACAGACTAAAACAGCTGGCAAATGAAATAACCTGGTGATACGGTTTGGCTGTGTCCCCACCAAAATATCATCTTGAATTGTAGTTCTCATAATACCCATGTGTTATGGGAGGGACCCAGTGGGAGGTAATTGCATCGTGGGGGTGGGTTTTCTCATGCTATTCTCTTGATAGTGAATAAATCTCATGAGATCTGATGGTTTTATAAAGGGCATTTCCCCTTCACATGCTCTCTTGTCTGCCACCATGTAAGACATGCTTTTGCTCCTCCTTCACCTTCCACCATGATTGTGAGGCCTACCTAGCCATGTGGAACTGTGAGTTCATTAAGCTTCTTTTTTCCTTATAAATTACCCAGTCTCAGATATTTGTTCATAGCAGTATGAAAATTGGCTAATGTACCTAGATATTTAAGAGTTTGGAGAAATTAGATATAAGAACTATGCAACTGAATAGCTGTTGCTTGGGCATGTGGATATATTAATTGGAAAAAAAATTGTCTGCTAAGAGTAATTGTTCATCAACTTAATGCAAACTATGAAACACAGAGTGCCTTGACAGACAGAAAAAAAAGGTGAAGATAAGGGTCAGAACTTAGAGAGGAGGCTTGTTCCTGAACAGATTGGATTTACAAACTGAAAGTCTATTATACAAAATTCTAGGCTTTTATTAAGAAGAAATGAGAATCTGAGACATAGAATGGGGCATGTGGATCAATTTAGTCAAACAACTGAATACACAGATCATTTTGAATCCTCTAAGCCCACATAAGAGGCTTAATGGTTTGCAATTCTCACCTGCTTTTAGAGGATTAATGAGTCTTAAATATGCATCCCCTTTGGGATCTGCACCCACCTATTTTCTGGGCCAATAAACCAATAACTAGAGTAAAGTCACAATATAACCTGGAAAAGTAAGTACTGAGCATGCTAATGGTCCGCCTTATATACCCAAAGTGCTGCAGAAGCTATAGATTTACAGGAACTAGAAGAACATTTGAGGGTCAAGAGAAATAAATGGTACATTTGAGTATCAAGAGAAAAAAATGTCAAGACAGCTGAATAAAGGTACCCAACACTCCTTTCCTCCATAAGGAAAGATTATAACAACAAATACATAACTGCACTTTGCGTAGTGTCTAAAGAAAAACACCAGAATTCAACAACAAAAAAAAAGAAAAACTCTCTGAAGAATGAATACTCAGGCAACATAGAGAGGGAAGTGAAGTACCCAGCTGGGATTAGCCTGGAGTCAGGAGGGACTTCCCATGTTCTCATAGGCTCTGAGCCTTGTATAGGGAGTTTTCTGCAATCCATGTTCCCACACTGCTCTAGAAAGGGAATTCATGTTGGGTCCTCCCAATTTCTCAGTATTCAAACTGCTGCGGCATGGTACCATTTTGAGAATTGAGTCATTGCTGGAATACAGCATGCCCTGAGACCCAATAATTCTTGTGTCACCACATTCCTGGGGCTCTACTGCCACTCTGCTATGCCCACACTAAAGCTGCAACAGAGTGACTCTACAAGCACCTAGTGGTACAGCCATAGACCTTACCCAGGTCCATGGCATTTCCTATTTCCTTAAAAACAGGCAGTTCAGCAGATTAGCGGGCCACATCAGGACTAAGCGAGCCAATGAGAACACTCCGCAGGCCTGGGAGTCAGCCACATAGCAGCTACTACTGCCACTGATGATGTCCCCTCCACAGGCAGAGATGTCACGTGCCATGCATGTGCTTCCCAGGGCTCAAGGAACAGCCCATATGGTGTTCACTGCCACAGACAATCCTGCCCCCTGCAAAGCCACACAACTGCTTACAGAAACACTGAAAATAATCTAAACCACTGAAACACTCACAGACACTGCTAACATTGATAATAACCAAAGATATAACACAAACACTACACCATTGCATCCACCCAGGACCAAAGCCAACGTACCCTCCCAACAAACACTATAGGACACATCTACAGAAACAGTATTTCCCTATGAAAGCTACTCCATAAAATTAGAAGTGACTGTTCAATCACATGTGCAGATATCAATATAAAGACACAAGAAACATTAAAAAAAAACACAAAAACATGACACCTACAAAAGAACACAATAACTATCCAGTAATAGATACTAAAGAAAAGAAATCTGGCCAGGCATGGTGGCTCATGCCTGTAATCCTAACACTTTGGGAGGCTGAAGCAGGAGGTTCACTTGAGGAGTGAACTCCTCCTTGAGGAGGTCCCAAACTCCTGTTGGAGAGGAGTTCAGGACCAGCCTGGCCAACATGGCAAAACCATGTCTCTACTAAAAATAAATTTAAAAAAAAATAGCCAATCATGGTAATATGTGCCTGTAGTCACAGCTACTTGGGGGGCTAAGGTAGGCCAGTCACTTTTGCCCAGGAGGTCAAGGCTGCAGTGAGCCGAGACTGCACCACTGCACTCCACCCTGGGTAACAAAGTGACACCCTGTCTCAAAAAAAAAAAAAAAAAAAAAAAAAAAAAAGAAGAAGAAAGAAAGAAAAAGAAAAAGAAAAAAAATCTGTGAAATAGCTGAAAAGAAATTTGAAATAATGATCTTAAAGAAACTCAGTGAGGTACAAAAGACTACAGATATACAATTCCCAAAATTAGGAAAGCCATTCTGATCTGAATAAGAAAGTTAACAAGAAAGATATAATAAAAAAGAGCCTAAAAGAAATCTTAAATAAACAATTCAAGAAATGCAATATAAAATACAATAGAGTTTCAACAATGGACAAAATCAAATATAAGAAAGAATTTCTGAACATGAAGACAGGTCTTTTGAAATAACCTAGTAAGACAAACAAAGAACGTGAAAAAAAAATGAATAAAGCCTATGGGACATATGGGACATCATTAAGCAAAAATATATTTACATTACGGAATTCCAGAAGATGAATATGTAGGAAAGGGCATAGAAAGCCTATTTAATAAAAGAATAACTGAAAACTTCCTAAGTCTTAGTAGAAATATGAACATCCAGTTTAGTAGGGTTTCCAAATAGATTCAACCTGAACAACTCATCTCACAGGCATATTATAGTCAAACTGTGAAACGTCAAAGATAAAAGGAGAAATAAAAAAGTAGTAATAGAAAAGAGTCAAGTCCCATACTAAGTAATCTCCATTAGACTGACAGATTTCTCAGCAGAAACCTTACTAGACTAGAAAAGAATGACATTATATATTCAAAGTGCTGAAAGAAAACACAAATAGCCAAGATTATTATGCCCACCAAAGCTTCAGAAATGAAGGAGAAATTAAGTCCCAGGCAAGCAAAAACTGAAAGAGTTTATCACCACTAGACCAATCTTACAAGACATGCTTCAAGAAGTCCTACATTTGGAAGCAAAAGGACAATAACTACCATTATGCAAATACATGAAAGTATGAAATTCATTGATAGAACAGATACACAAATGAGAAAGGGAAAGGAAGCAAACTTTACCAGAACAACAAAAAACAAATTGTGAAAATAAACAATAGAGTAAGAAAAAAATAAAAGGATGTACAAAACAACCAAAAAACAATTAACAAAATGATAGGAGTGAGCCCTCACCTATCATTAATAACTTTGACTATAAATAGATTAAACTTCTCAATTAAAAGATATAGACTGGGTGAATGAGTTTTTTAAAAAAGAAATAAGACCCAACTATAGGTTGCCTACAAGAAACTCCTTTCACCTTCAGAGACACACATAGATTGAAAGTGATGGGTTGAAAAAGGACAGTCCAAGCAAACAGAAACCAAAAGCAAGCAGAAGTAGCCATACTTAATATCAAATAAAATAGACTTCAAGTCAAAACTACACAAAGAGACAAATAAGGTCATTATGTAATGAAAAATGAATCAATTCAGCAAGAGGATATAATCATTGTAAATATATATGCACCCAACACTGGAGCACCCAAATATATAAAGACAATATTATTAGATCTTGGCCAGGCAAGATCTTGGCTCATACCTGTAATCTCAGCATTTCTGGAGGTTGAGGCAGGATTACTTGAGCATAGGCGTTTAATACCAGCCTGGACAACATAGTGAGCCTTGCCTCTATAAAAAAGTAAAAATAAAAAAATAGCTGGGTGTGGTGGTACATGCCTATAGTCCTAGTTACTTGGGAGGCTGAGGCAGGAGGATCACTTGAGCCTAGGAGTTTGAGGTTACTGTAAGCTATGATCATGCCACTGCACCCCAGCCAGTTTGATAGAGTGATGCCCTGTCTCTAAGAAAAAAGAAAAAAGAGGGAGGCCAAGGCAGGCAGCTCACAAGGTCAGGGGATAGAGACCATCCTGGCTAACACGGTGAAACCTTGTCTCTACTAAAAATACAAAAAAATTAGCCGGGCGTGGTGGCGGGCGCCTGTAGTCCCAGCTACTCGGGATGCTGAGGCAGAAGAATGGCATGAACCCAGGAGGCGGAGCTTGCAGTGAGCCGAGATGGCGCCACTGCACTCCAGCCTGGGCGACAGAGCGAGACTCCGTCTCAACAACAACAACAAAAAAAAAAAAAAAAGGAAAGAAAAATTATTATTAGATCTAAAAGGAGAGGTAGGCCCCAATACAATAAGAGGTGAGGTTTTTAACACTTTAACACCCCACTCTTAGCATTGGACAGAATATCTAGACAGAAAATTAACAAAATAAAATTGGATTTATACTCTAATATAGACCATATGGACCTAAAAGACATTTGCAGAACATTTTAATCAATAGCTGCATAATATGCACTCTTCTCATTCGCACATGAAACATTCTCCAGGATAGATAATATGTTAGGTGAGCAAACAATTCTCAACACATTTTTAAAAACTGAAATCATAACAAGTATTTTTTGTGATCACAATTGAATAAAATAAGGACTTTGGAAAAAGTACAATACATCGAAATTAAACAACATGTTCCTGAGTGACTCAATGCATCAGTAAAAAATTAGGAAAGAAATTTCAAAATGTCTTAAAACAAATGAAAATAGAAACCTCAACATATCAAAACCCATAAGATATGGCAAATGAAGTACTAAGGGGGAAGTTTAAAGCAGACAATGCCTACATCAAAAAAGTAAAAAGATTTCAAATAAACAACCTAATGTTATACCTCAAGGAACCAGAAAAGCAAGAGCAAACCAAACCTCAAAGTAGTAGAAATAATAATAATAATAAA
Organism: Homo sapiens; assembly: GCF_000001405.40. Classification (NCBI taxonomy): domain Eukaryota; kingdom Metazoa; phylum Chordata; class Mammalia; order Primates; family Hominidae; genus Homo; species Homo sapiens. The sequence goes on along the minus strand of NC_000002.12, from coordinate 188,615,894 downwards.
AGATCAAAACAGAAATAAACAAAATAGTGACTTAAAACACACACACACACACACACACACACACACATACACACACAGGATCAACAAAATGAAAAATTAATTCACTAAAAAGATTTTTTTAAATCAGCAAATCATTAGCTAGACCAAGAACAAAGGAAGATCCAAATAAATAAAATCAGAGATGAAAAAAGAGAAATTATAATTGATAGTGCAGATATACAAAAGATAGGTAGACACTATCATAAACAACTGTATGCCAACAAATTGGGAAACCTAGATAAAATAGATAAATTTCTGAACAAATGCCACCAGACATTTAGAGAAGAACTAACACTAATTCCTTTCAAAATATTACAAAAAATTGAAGGGGAGGAAATTTGTCCAAACTTATTTTTATAAGGCCAGTATTACTTTAATGTTGATATTAGACAAGGACACAAAAGAATAAAAAACTACAGGGCAATATCCCTGATGAATATAGATACAAAAATCCTCAACAAAATACTAGGAAACTTCAAGAAAGGATTCCAGGAAAAAAATAATTTAAAAAAACATACTAGAAAAAAACAACAAAAATATTAGAAAAACAAATCTAATCAGCACATGAAAATGATTAGACACCATGATCAAGTAGGATTCATGCCGGAATGCAAGGGTGGTCAAATATACACAAATCAATAAATATGATACATTGCATCAACAGAATGAAGGACAAAAGTTATATCACCATCTCAATAAACACAGAAAAAGTATTTGATAAAATTCAATATCCCTTCATGGTAAAAACTCTCACAAATTAGGCATAAAAGGAACATACCTAAAAATAGTAAAGGCCATATGCAGAAAACCTATAACTAATATCATATGGATGGGGAAAAATTGAAATCTTTGCCTGTAAAAACTGGAACAAGACATAGATGTCCACTTTCATCACTCTTATTGAATATAATACAGAAAGTACTAGCCAGTGAAATTCCAATTTAGAAATTTTCCTAAATTGGAAAATAGGAAGCAAAAATGTTTCTGTTTGAGATAATGTGATCTTATACAGGAAAAAACCTAAAGACTTCACACACAAAAAAAATCTTAAAACTGATGGATAAATTCACTAAAATTGCAGGATACAAAATCAATATGCAAAAATTAGTAGTTTTTTCAATATACCAATAATGAACTATCTGAAGAAAAAATTAAGAAAGCCATCACCATTTATAAAAGCTAGAAAAATTAAAATATCAAGGCATAAATTTAATCAAGGAGTTCAAAACACCTGTACAATAAAAACTAAAAAATACTGATTAAAATAATTGAAGAGGACGCTAAAAAAACGGAAACACATCTTATGTCCATGGAATGGAAGAAGTAATATTGCTAAAATGGCTATAAAACTTAAAGCAATCTACAGATTCAATGCAATTCCTATCAAAACACCAATGCCATTATTCACAAAAATAGAGAAAAAATTAAATTTGTGTAGAACTCCAGAAGATCTCAAATAGTCAAAGTGATGCTGAGCAAAAAGAACAAAGAGAAATCAACTGCCTGACTTCAAAATATACCAAATCTATAGTAATCAAAATAGCATGGTACTGGTATAAAAGCAGACACATTGGTCAATAGAACAGAATATTAATTCTGTTCCACTCTGAGTTCAGATAGAAAACCATATATAAATCTACATATATTCAGCTAAGTGATTTTAACAAAGCTATCAAGAACATTTTATTGGGGAAATGACAGTTTCTTCAATAAATGGTGCCGGGAAAGCTGAATGTCTATATTTGGAAGAATGAAATTAGACCATTATCTCTCACCACAAATAACCGTAAACACAAAATAGGTTAAAGAAAATTAAATATAAGATGAGAAACTGTGAAAGTATTAGCAGAAAACTTAGAAGAAAAACTCAATAACATTGGTCTGGGCAAATATTTTTATAAATAAGTTACTGAAAGCACAGGCAACAAAAGTGAAAATGGATACATGGGATTATATCTAAGTAAAAAGCTTCCACACAGCAAAGGAAACAATCAACAGAATGAATCAACAATCCAAATAACAATTGGCCAATTGATCTGCATAGACATTCCTCAAAAGAATCATACAAATGGCCAAATAGTATATTTTAAAATGCTTAACATCACGGAAATACAAATCAAAACCAACACAATGAGATATCATCTCACTCCAGTTAGAATGGTAATTATCAAAAGGACAAAACACAACAAATGCAGAGAAAAGGGAACTGTTATACACTGCTAGTGCAAATGTCAATTAGTACAGTCACTATGGAAAACTGTATGGAGGTTGCTCAAAAAAAACTAAAAACACAACTACCATATGATCCAGCAATCTTACTGCTAGGTATGTATCCAAAGGAATAGAAATCAAATAGATATCTGCACTCCCATGTTCATTGCAGCATTATTCACAATAGCCAAGATATGAAATCAAACTAAGTGTCTATCAGAAGATGAATGAATAAAGTACAGTATATATACACAATGGAATAAAATTAATCCACAAAAAAGAATGAAATCTTGTCATTTGGGCAACATGGATAAGCCAGGAGGACATTATATTAAATGAATTCAGACAGGCACAGAAAGATAAATACCACATGTTTTCACTTATATGTGGATGTTTAAAAAATTGATCTCATAGAATTAGAGAACAGAGTAGTGGTTACTAGAGACTGGGACTGGTAGTAGTTAATGAATACAAAATTACAGCTAGACAGGAGTAAGTTCTAGTGTTCTATGACACTGTAGTATAACTATAATTAATAATATATCATATATTTTCAAAAGCTAGAGGAATTTTGAATGTTCCCAACACAAAGAAATGACAAATTTTTTTAGATGACACATATGCTAATTACCTGATTTGATTATTACCCATTGTATACATTTATCGAAATATCCTCTACTGCATAAGTACAATTATTATGTATCAATTAAAAATTATAAAAAAGAAAGAAATTGTAGGTTTTAGAAGGAAGAATTTATTGATATGGGATTGCTCTTCTGTGGTCCATATATTTTGTTACTTAGACAATTTCACCATGCCAATGAGATAGTTTTTAGAAGCTTCAAGAAAGTGATGGCCTTTTCCAGGAAAATATACAATCAAAGAACATTTGTAATAGACAGTGAAAGAAGATACAAGGATCAGAGAAGTGCTACTAAAGCAGATAAAGCATGTAAGCCCCCAAAATTCAACAGCTATGTTCCTTAGAATCACCGAGAGGATACCCCATTTACTAAAGTGATAGAAAATATGGTATTACAGATAACAATGAAAATAATAGGACCTCCAAACAGAGGTCAAGTAGAGGCAGTTAGCCATCAAATGTAAAGCACTGCATTATCATAAAGAGCAACAAAGTTGGCCTCTTAGGCAGATGTTCTTGACAGGTAAAAGCTATGGAAATGATCAACAAAACATGGCATCCCTATGGTCAATGTAAATGGTTAACCAAAAAGAGTCTTGCTCAGTCTACAAATATGGTCTATGGTCAGCCAGAAAAAGTACTGCCGAATCTATAGCTATCAATATAGTTTTACTCAATCAAGAGAAATCGAGGATAGATAATCAGCTTCTCCAATAAAAATTTATAACCTCTTAACCAGCATCAAGAATTGAGCAAGTTTTTAGAACCAGAGCCGATTGACTGAAGGAAGGGTCAATTCCTCAGGAATAAAGACTCTGTGACACCACACGTTATATATATATAGTGATATTACTTGACTTTTTCCAAAAGTATTTGCTATGGTTTGAAAATCTGTCCCCTCTTAAACTCATATTGAGACTTAATCTCTAATGTAATGGTATTAATATGTGTGGCCTTTAAGTGTTGATTGGGTCATAAGGTCCCTGCCCACATGAATGGATTAATCTATTCATGGATTATTAGATTAATGGATTGATGGGTATTATGGGATTAGGTTAGTTATCACAAGAGTGGGTCTGTCATAAAAGCCAATTTTGCTTTTAGTCAGCCTCCTTGCCATTAGATGCCCTGTTCCAGCTTGGAACTAACTCTACTAAGTGTCTTCACCAGCAAGTAGGCTAACACCAGATGTGGTCCTTTGGCCCTAAACTTTTCAGTCTCCAGAATTGTAAGAAATATATTTCTTTTCTTTATAAATTATCCATTTCTGGTATTTGGTTATACTAATAGAAAACAGCATATGACAGGAAATTGGTACCAGGAGTGGGGGTATAGGAGTGGGGGTATAGCTAATAAAGAATACCTGAAAATGTGAACACATCTTTGGGATTGGATAATGGGCAGAGGCTAGAAGAATTTGAAGGAGAAAGCTAGAAAAGGCCTAGAAAGCTGTAAATGGCACATTAAGGCTGATTCTGGTGATGGCTTAGAAGACAAGAAAAGTAGGGAAAGTCTGGAACTTCTCAGAGATTACTTAAATAATCACGACCAGAATGCTGATAGAAAGGTGGACAGTAAAAACATTCTGATGAGGCCTCAAATGGAAAAGAAGAACAACATACTGGAGTCTGGAATAAAGGTCATCCTTGTTATAAAGTAGCAAATAACTTGGCCGCATTGTATTCATACCCTAGGGTTTGGTGGAAGGTCAAACTTGAGAATGATAAGCTAGAATATCTGCCAGAAAAAAATTTTATGCAGTAAAGAGGCTGTGTGGTTCATTTGGCTGCTCATAGTGAGCTTTGGGAACAAACAGATGATTAAAAGACAGAATTTGTAATTAAAAGGGAAGTAGAATGTAAACATTTGTAAAATTTACAGACTGGCCATATTAAAAAAATCCTGTTAGGATGTGGCTAAGCAACCACTTGCGAAACAGATTAGCACTGATAGAAGGGAGTCAGAGGTTATTCATCAGAACAGTGGGAGATTTCAAAAGCATTTTAGAGATCTTCAAAGCTTCCCCATCCATCACAGACGCAGAGAACTAGGAAGGCAGAATGGATTTGTGGATCATGCTCAGGCATCCTTCACAGGCTTGCTGCCTAAAGCTGTTTTGGGACTCTGCTCACAGCATCCCAGCATAGTGCTCCTTGGCTGCCAATGCTGTAAACCTTTGCAGTGCCAGGTTTGGGCTCAAGTGGGCTCAGATGCAGCTTGAGCAGTGGCTCTAGAATTAAGCATTGGTACTGTAAACATGTTGCTAATTCTAGAGGTGTACAAAATGCAAGAACTGTGGAAGCATGGCAGCTTCCACTGAGATTTCAAAGGATGTATTGGACTGCTTAGAGGCCCAGAGAGAAACTTGCTATAGGGGCAGAGCCACCACAAAGAACCTCCACTTGAGCAATGAGCATTAAATGTGGGTTAGAGCTGCATCAGAGTGTCCTTGCTAGGGTAATGCCTAATGTAGTCATGAAAGCGGGCCCACCACCACGACTCCAGAACTGCAGAGCCACAAGTTTATGACCCCAGCCAGAGAGCTGAAATGTGGGCCACGTTCAGAAAAGCTATAGGAGTCAGGCCGCCTGAGACTTTGGGTGCCTAACCCTGCACTAGTGTGTCCAGAGGAGGACCTTTTGGAGGTGATTGGATCATGAGGGCACTGACCTCATGAATGGATTAATCTATTTATGAATTAATGTGTTAGTGGATCAATGAGTCATCAAGGGAGTAGGTTAGTTCTCATGAGAGTGGGTCTGTTACAAAATGCCAATCTGGCTGTCTGTCATGAGCTCTGTTGCCATGTGATGTCCTGTGCCACTTCAGGTCTCTGCAGAGAGTCTCCATCAGTGACAAGGCCCTCACCAAATGTAGCTCCTCAGCCTTGGGCTTCTCAGCCTCTAGAACTGTAAGAAGTAGATTTTTTTTTTCTTTATAAATTACCCAAGTTTAGGTATTTAGTTATAGCAACAGAAAACAGATTAAGACAGGATCTATGGCCAATTGCTTTAGTAATGGTACACTGAAGAAAAAAAATAACCAAGTATTTTGAGGAAAGCTGGACACAAGAAATCATCATGGACCCTCTGTTAGAGTGAAGGTATTTGGGGCCTTGCCATAAATGAATTCCTGGCCAAAGTTCAAGTTCCAATGAGTCAGTTGAGTTTTGGGTCATTTCCCTGGTAGACAAATTTATAATGTGTTACTAAGAAAAACCCCAAGGTAGTTCCTTGGCATATGGGGTTGGAGATATTGCACTGAAGTAAATAAAGTTGAATTCATTAAACTATACAAGAGAGTAAATAAAAAACTATGAATATTGAATTCTGAGAGAGCAGTGGGTAGGAAGGTTATATGGTTTGGATCTGTGTCTCCACCCAAATCTCATATTTAACGGTAATCCACAATGTTGGAGGTGGGGCCTGGTCAGAGATGATTGAATCTTGGGAATGGATCCTTCATGAATGGTTTAGCACTATTTATTCAGTGTTGTTCTCATAATAAAGTTGTCATGAGATCTGGTTTCTAGTGTCTAGCACCTCTCCCCTCTGTCTTCCTTTTGCTCCAGTCATGTAAAATGTACCTGCTTCCCCTTTACCTTCCACCCTCTGAGAATGCCTCAAACATAGGTTTTTAGAAAGCTGTGTAAAATCCATTCAAATTTTCATTGTTCCTTTATTAGCCAGGTCCCACATTGACTGACTAAAATATTTAAAAATGCCTCTGTTACCTCAGTTAAAATTAATCAAATATTTTTCTCAGATCATAATTACTTTTAAGTAAATATATAATTTTTAACATACGACAGCAAAATAATCAAAGAATGATGAAAAGATAGGTGAAAATAGAACTGTAAACCAGGCAAGAGAGTTCATAAAAAACCACATGCTTACTAATAACCTTCTATTTATAGTAGTACTGTGCTAGACAATGAAAGTGATGCAGAACATATACTTTGTAGCAGTTTAGTAAATAGCTTAGTAACTAGATGGAAAGGCAGAAGATAGAACATAAAACAGCAATAAATGTAAGAATTCAATAAAATCCAAGTAGAAGTAGATAAAACTATATGAATGTGAAAAGAGATTTACCAGCGAAAGAGAAAGACTTTGTACTTGTAAAGAAGAGAGTACTAGAGTCATGGAAATCAAATACTCATATTTTCAAAAGGGAAAAAGATAAGGACAGTACATTTAAGCCAAATACAATTGCTTCCTGCTCCTTAAGCCAAATACAATTACTTCCTGCTCCATCTCTCTACCATGCTCAAGGAACCAAAATTGGACAGACACTCTGTCAGCAGCCATTTGCATTTCAGCATAACTGAGCTGCCCAAGTACTCATATTTTCTAAGAATTTTAGCCAAGTTTGGTTTTGGTTTGAAATCTTCCTTGAGATAAATTTCAAACCATAGAAAAAGCACAGCGATTTTGGCTTACCAGTAAGACAACCTGGATTATACTTTGTGGGACTCTTGGTTCTCTAGCCACGCTCAGCCCAAAGGCCTTTGGCAGACACAGCTCCATTTCAAAAACCATGCTAATGGCTGTCATGGCAGGGGAAACCCTTCTCTAGACCAATATTTCTGTTTTCAATTATGTAGGTCTTGCTATGATTTATTTAGTTCAAGGCATCCAATCCTGGAAAGATTGACTCTCACTTTCATGAAAGATATCATATAGAGCAAACAGGCAGCTAAAAATTGCAGAATATTTTATGGAACAGACAAATAAAATTATTCTGAAAAATACATCAAAATAATATTTAATTATATCATTTGATGATATTTTAAAAATGGTAAAATAAATACAAGGTTATAAGACCTTTTATATTAATATCTTTAATGCTTTATTATTGTCTAAAACTTAGTTGAGCCATTAAGACTCTCATTGCTGTAACAGTAGCTTTACATTCATTTGGTATTTATAATAATAGCTATCATTTATTCAGTACCCATCTAATTTTAAATGCTTTACATATTTATTTTCATTTTGTCTTTAATTTTATGACTAAATATTGCTCATATTTTCTTGGTAAGGAGTTGGAGGCATAAAAATATTATGCAACTTTTCTAAGGTCACAAAGTTAGTAAGTATTGGTGGCATTTAATATGTATCACGGATTATGTTACTGATGGCCAACTTTTTCTTTCCCTCCTTGTACTGTTCCACTTTATATACCTTTTCTGCTGAACTCAGGAGTATGCATGTGACTTACTTTGGACAACAAAATAATATGTCTTCACTGCTGAGCAGAAGTGATATGTGACTCTGCCAAGCAGAACTGCTGAGTCAGCATGTGGCTTGCCATGCTTCTCTTTACCACAAGATCAGTAATGCCCCAGTTAGAGACAGCTTCTTTTACTTGGTGTAGAGCTTCCTTGGAGGAGAATAGCAATAACTCGGAATGAATTTGTAGGGTGAGTGAGAAATAAACTTCATTGTTAGCCTCTGGTACATGGGGGTCATTTGTTGACACAGGGTATCCTTGCCTGGCCTTGCCTCAAGTAGTTTCCTCAACAGAATCAACAGGTAGAATTCACTGTGACCTAAATTAAAAGGCCTTTCCATGACCCTTATATTGATTCCTCCTGAGTTGTTCAAGTACTAAAATCTGATATCCCCAACTTAATTAAAATCTTCTTGAGGGTAAATATAATGTGTTAAGTTTATAGTTTCATATTTCCCTGCACAAATAAAATTGATCTACTCAAAATATTTATGTGGCATCTGCTGTGAATGAATAAAATTTCATTCATTTACTTTTAGCAGCTTTACTTTTTTCATTTTTAATCTATGACCCCACAATGGTATATAAATGCCTTTTGCTGTACATGACTTTAAGCATATTAAGTACCATATCTATTTATTTAACTTCCCAAGGTGCTTGGAAGACAGTAAACTACTCTTGAATTGAAATAGAATCTGTGGAATAGTATTGTAAAATATCATTTTGTAATGTTTTGCAACTTTAAACAATCTAGTATTTCTATGGACTTCCTATAAAATTAATGTGTACTCAACTATGATTTGATTATTACCGGGAGGTGACAGCGTGCTGGCAGTCCTCACAGCCCTCGCTCGGTCTCGGCGCTTCCTCTGCCTGGGCTCCCACTTTGGCGGCACTTGAGGCGCCTTTCAGCCCACCGCTGCACTGTGGGAGCTCCTTTCTGGACTGCCCAAGGCCGGAGCCGGCTCCCTCAGCTTGCAGGGAGGTGTGGAGGAAGAGGCGCGAGCCGGAACCGAGGCTGCGCGCCGCGCTTGCGGGCCAGCTGGAGTTCCGGGTGGGCGTGGGCTTGGCGGGCCCCGCACTCAGAGGAGCCGGCGGGCCCTGCTGCCCCGGCAATGAGGGGCTTAGCACCCGGGGCCAGCGGCTGCGGAGGGTGTACTGGGTCCCCCAGCAGTGCCAGCCCACCGGCGCTGCGCTCGATTTCTCACCGGGCCTTAGCTGCCTTCCCGCGGGGCAGGGCTCGGGACCTGCAGCCCGCCATGCCTGAGCCTCCCACCCCCTCCATGGGCTCCTGTGCCGCCCGAACCTCCCCGACGAGCGCCACCCCCTGCTCCACTGCGCCCAGTCCCATCGACCACCCAAGGGCTGAGGAGTGCGGGGGCACGGTGCCGGACTGGCAGGCAGCTCCACCTGCAGCCCTGGTGCGGGATCCACTAGGTGAAGCCAGCTGGGCTTCTGAGTCTGGTGGGGAGGTGGAGAACCTTTATGTCTAGCTCAGGGATTGTAAATACACCAATCAGCACCCTGTGTCTAGCTCAGGGTTTGTGAATGCACCAATGGACACTCTGTATCTAGCTACTCTGGTGGGGCTTTGGAGAACCTTTGTGTCTAGCTGGGGGATTGTAAACGCACCAATCAGCGCCCTGTCAAAACAGACCACTGGGCTCTACCAATCAGCAGGATGTGGGTGGGGCCAGATAAGAATAAAAGCAGGCTGCCGGAGGAAGCAGTGGCAACCTGCTGGGGTCGTCTTCCATAGTGTGGCAGCTTTGTTCTTTTGCTCTGTGCTGTAACTCTTGCTACTGCTCACTGTTTGGGTCCACACTGCTTTTATGAGCTGTAACACTCACCGCAAAGGTCTGCAGCTTCACTCCTGAAGCCAGTGAGACCACGAGCTCACCAGGAGGAACGAACAACTCCAGATGCGCCACCTTAAGAGCTGTAACGCCTTAAGAGCTGTAACACCGCGAAAGTCTGCAGTTTCACTTCTGAGCCAGCGAGATGCGAACCCACCAGAAGGAAGAAACTCCAAACACATCCGAACATCAGAAGGAACAAACTCCAGATGCGCCACTGTAAGAGCTGTAACACTCACCGCGAGGGTATGCGGCTTCATTCTTGAAGTCAGTGAGACCAAGAACCCACCAATTCCGGACACATTACCACTTGTATATTTCTGAATCTACAGTTCTCTTCCAGGTTTTAGACTAAACATGCTTTTTCTTCTAGTGGTGGGCCTAAAGAAAAATGGGCGTTTCTCCAGTTAATTTTCTTATTCTTGTAGCTATATTTTTAAAAATGTTGAGTTCTGTGTTAATAAAAAAAAACCTGTAATCGGTAAGCATTTATCTCTCAAGTAGCTGGTAATATTTATAAAATAAACAGGAATTTCAGAACAGTTTTAGATTTACAGAAAAATCACAAAGATAGTACAGAGATCCCATATACCACACACATCTTCCCCTATATACCACACACATCTTCCCCTATTATTAGTATCTTTTTTTTAGTGCACTTGCCACAATTAATGAACTAATATTAATGCATCATTGACAAAAGTCTATAATTTATTGAGATTTCCTTAATGTTGCCTAATTTCCTTATCCTGTTCCAGGATTCCATCAGTATGTCATATTACATTTAGTAATCATGTCTTCTTAGGATCCTTTTTGCTGTGACAGTTTCTCAGACTAACTTAGATTTTAATGGCTTTGACAATTTTCAGTAGTACTAGTCAGCTTTTTTGCAGGATGTTCTTCTGTTGGGATGTGTCTGATCATTTTTTTTTTCTCATCATTATTAGCCTGGATTTATGGGTATTGGAGAGGAAGTCCTCAGAAGTAAAGTGTCATTTCATCATATCATGAGCATATACTATCACTGGGATTGATAGTTTATCAGGCTTCTCCACTGCAAAGTTAATTTTTTCTTCCCTTAGCATTGTACTCTTTTCACATTGTATTGGAATTGTCTATACATAGCCCATGCTTAAGGAGTGATGAGTCATGCTTCACCTCGTTGATAGCAAAAAGTATCACATAAATTATTTGTAATTCTTCTGTATGGAGTTGTACCTTTTCTCCTCTATTTATTCAACCACTTCTTTATCAATGTGAACTCATGGATTATTATTTTAAAACTTGGGTTATAAACCAATACTACTGTTTTGTTGTCCAGATTGTTCCATCTTTAGACAATGGAAGGTCTCTCAGTTGACTCCTGTGTTTCTTTGACATATCCTCATCATCCTATCATTTCTTCTGTTTCTTTTTTTTAAAAACAATCTCTTATTTTCAGACGCTACATGATGCTCCAAACTCATCTCATGTATTTCCTTCCCAAAACTTACAAACAGCCTATTTTCCAAAGAGCAGATTTGTTTCTTTTTTTCTGATCCCCACGTGTGAGAGTACCTGTTGCTCCACATCCTCACCAGCAATTTTCAGCGTTTTGAATTTTATCAAAATATTATTATACAACACGGAAGTTTTAATTAAGAAGGGACTAATATCATTAAGAATAGCCACTGTCCTAATATTTTATATTTTTTCTTCTGAGATTTGTTAATCCAAGTAAGTTGCCTCAAAGTCAATTTCAGAACATTTTAACATTCATTACTATGATAAACTCAACACATTATTATCACTGTAGTTGAATGTAATTTTTACTATAAAAAGAAGTGAGAACCAAAGTTACAACTAGTAAAGGAATATGGGTTAGCATACAGTATCTATAGGTTTTTTAAACATTTAACACAGAACATAATCCACAGTCTGTCACACAATAAAATTCATATTTGGCTAAACTTTATATCTCAGTAGAGAAATCTATTGTCCATTAAATTTAATAATAATAGTACCATGTATTTTACAATTATTTATAATTTACAGAACATTTGTATTCATTGGTTAATATTGACAATAACTTTGATTTTAATAATTTTTTAAAATTATTAAATAAATATTTTTCCTATGTATATTTTTTGAGATGGAGTTTCATTCTTGTTTCCCAGGCTGGAGTGGAATGATGTGATCTTGGCTCACGGGAACCTCCATCTCCTGGGTTCAAACGATTCTCCTGCCTCAGCCTCCCGGGTAGCTGGGATTACAGGCATGTACCACCAAGACTGGCTAATTACCTACTTAAACAAATGTTACCTTCTATTTCTTAGCATAAGAATTTTAAAAACAATTTTATTTTCTTATTTTCATCTGTCAAAAGTGTTTGTCTATAAAGTAATGTGGAATATTAGAGAAACAGAACTGTTTATTTCAATAGGAAAATATCTACGCATTGTGGATTTCAGGTTATTCACCTGAAAAAATGTTTATGCTGCAGTATTGCATCTATGGGCATGAAAATCATGATATGGGTAATCAGAAGTTTCTGTTAAATAACTTACATCATTTTATGTACATTGTGAAAAACCCTCGAGGGGGAGCAGGATAGTAAATCCCTTCATCATAGGACAAACAGATTATTTCTGCTCCACAAAATTAACTCAGTGAAAGATAATGCATAAAGTTTCCTGGCATTAATAATCCATATATAGAGCCAAATTAGTAGGTGATCAAAAAGAGCATCCTTACATAAGTAAAATAATTTTTTAAAAGTATCATGTATAGAAAATTAGCCTTGTGTAGCATTAAGAAATATATATATAAAGAGAAAATCATTTTGCAAATTTTTCTTTATAAAAATAACACAAAATGTTTAATGAAAACACACACACACACACACACACACACACACACACACACACACACACACAGAAAGAGAAAAAGTACATGGAAACTAAAAAAAGTTACATGTAAAGACCTCATTACAAATTAGTGAAAATATACATACTTCTTGCTCTTCAGGAAAATACTTTGTTAAACACACTGGTACTGGATTTATAACAATTAGTATGGTTAAGAAGTAGCATTAAAATAATAGTAATTCTCAACCAGAGATTGTATGTCAACCTAAAATGTACCTTACTTTAGTTTTTGTTTGTGTCTGAAATTTGAAGTTCATACAAACGTTTAAAAGATAGTTACCCTATCTGACTTTCATCCTGAATTTGTCTATAGTATTGCTATAAATATTAAATAGAAACCTTAAAAAAATCACACTTTTGTATATTCCTAATTGCCTTAGCTCTAGGTCATATTAATTCACAATTATGAAGTATCAAAAAAGTTAAGACTAACTTATGAAAATGCCTGGACAATTATGTAGTTTACAATGAGAAAAATGTTTCTGTTTTGTGAACTATGTATGCTGACATATATTCTACACAATGAAAGGTTTTCATATTTTATGAGCAAAATTCACTTAGGCAGCATAGATACATTCATCTGCAAACCCCAGCTTGATTAAATATATAACTGATGGTGCTTCCAACTGTCTTTCATTTGAGACCCTGTATCTAAGAAAAATGTAATTATGAAATGCTGTTTAAACTGTCTACTTTAAAACCACATTACTGTAGTTTGCTAATAACCCTTCTATATTATGCTGATCTGTAACTTTTAAAGCCACATTTTTAACTCAAGTAGTTGGCATAACTTCTATTGCAATGAATTTATTCTGGGAAGTCTGACTGCCATGATTAGTGGTTTGACTCCAGTATTTCCAGCTTACTGCACTAAGTTCCCACTGATGTACTTGTGGTTTCACATATACCAAAGAATATTCTATGATGAGTGCTGGATGGAAAAGATTGTTCATCTGACAATAATCTTTCTAGCCACATAGACATACCACAATCTCTATCAGTAATCTTAAATTTTGGCAGTCATGGATAAACACTATTCTTGCCAATATATATTCATTATTTATACAATTTTCCTTTGATGATTTTTCCTTTAGGAATTGAAATTTTTAAAGAATATGTGTCTAAATTGTTTTCAGAATGGATACTCCAAGCTGTTTTAATATTTGGCTTTGAGCAAATTCAAAATCACATTTCTAAAAACTTCAGTTCTGTACATATACTTATGGAGAGAGAGAGACTTCTTACTGGAAAGGGAGGATAGTCCTAGTGGAGAAGTAAGCAGGGTGCAGACATTTCAATTGCCCCGTCAGAGTATGTGCAGTTGAAGCACTTAAAAGGATTAGTAAAGGACAATTACTTGTTTTTTTCTTCCACTGTATACCCACTGAGGAGCATAGACTGCAGTTGGCACAAAAGGATCTCATCAGAGAAGTCTTTTAACATTAAGCGTCTGTCTTAAGTATTAAAAATGTGACTTCAGTTTCCCCCTTGAATACCATCACAGCTGACCTTTTGAAACAGAGCTGAAGTTTCTCTCTGCTTTAAATTGCTCATTCTCATGAAGAACAATGATGAATTAATGCATTTATTTTAATCTTGGTTGGCCTTTCTTAAGAGCAAGCACATTCCAAAATAACTCTCTCGTTCTTTAAATCCTAGTTACATTGTTTCATTTTACTACTCAAAATGAATTCATTATTATAATTTTCCTGCTAATTCTTAAAGGAAAAGATCACTGGTATTTGATGCAAGTTATTTATATGAAATAAAAATACTATTGAACAGACAAATAAAAATCAAAATGGTATAACACAGTTTTTTCTTTATCCCATTTGTTTTGTTTGTTATTAGAAATTTTGGTGCATAGCGTTTTTGAACATTTTTGTCCAATTTTCCTTTGACTTTCGAATTTTTAGTCGGGGAACAGTGCGGGAAACAATCTGGTTTTGATGGAATCCCAAATTTTTGTGAGTGTGTGTGTGTTCTAAATAAACTCAACTAGGTCATATGACTCATGTGCTTTCCATGGTCTCATTGACTTTATTTTCTGTCTAGAAACTATTTAATAAATCTTATTTGATCAGATCAATATTCTTTATTGCTTCTTTAACAAAACAAAGTTGAACTGTTTGTTAAGAAGAAAGTACTGTTTTAGGTTTCTTTCTTTTTGTAAATTATTTTCTAAAGAGTTGTAGAGTTTTGATCAATTTGCATAACATAATAAATACTTGAGCCCATTTGTGGTTTTCAGGGCCAGCTGTTTTCTCCAGCTCCAGCTCTATGATTAAGGATTAAGGGATGCAAAATGATGAGAAACCCACAGGGCAATTGCTGCCTTTGGAAGATTTAACGGCATGCTGAGGATTTTTATATTCTCTGCATTTCCCTTCCTTTACAGGTACAACAAACAAGAAAAACTTTACCAAAAAGGCCATTCAAAGAGTATTACTCAACATGTCAAAGGCAAGTTTTATTTGAATCTATTTCAAGAAAGTATTCTAATATTCATATTCACACACATTACAAAACCTAAGCACATACAGGCAGGTTCCTGAAAAACCCAGGTATAGGACAAATTCTCTGTGAATCTAAATATTTCTATCCATGTGAGTACATGTAAGAATACCTGTGTTTTGGTGTTTCGATGTAGTATTATCTTGTATGTTTCAGAATTTTTTTTCCAGCATTTTCAAGGTTTAATATTCACTTGGAAAGGGGGACCCTTGGAATTCTTTTGAGACGTACCTTATTCATCTTGAAGTCATCCTGAAGATGTGGCAGGCCATTAATACTTTTGTAGAGAAACACAGGCTCCATTTTTCCACTGTAAATATATGCTGAGGTCTGTCTTTAAATGTGTACCTAGGAGTAGGAAAGGTTGAGAAAGGAGAGAATGATATTTTTGCCCTGCATTCAACTTTGATTGTTATGAAGGGAAATATTTTACATAAAATATTTCTACAATAAGGAGATTCAAAGGCTAGAACAGTTTTGTCATCGCTCCTGTACTTTTTTTCAAGACTACTATTATCTCTAATTCTGAGCCAGGTACACTATTTACTTAGAAGTCATTGATTAATATTTATTTATAACTAGTAGGCAAGTTAAAGAATGTAAAATACATATTCTTCTGATAATTGTTTTTTAAATCTTAGGTTTATTTGGGGGAATTTCTTCCTTTCCTTATGCCAAGAATGGCTAATGCCTGTGAATGTCAGACATAAAACCCCATTACATGAATTTCCCAAAGTCAAAGAATGCTGAATTAATGCTGTAAGCAAAGCTGTAACATCAAAGCATAGAGTGTTAACGATTTTAGTTAGTTCCCTACAGATCAGGCTTTGTTCATTGTAAGGAATCTTTTTAAAAGTTACTTAAAAATTCAAGAGCTGTATGGTTTACAAATTTACGAACTCAAGTGATTCCAAGGAAGGAATATTTGTTTTTCTAATTGCCATTGGTGGCTGGAAGTCATGAAACAGTAACCAGCTTATTTTTAGCAATTTTTCTGTTTAATTCCTTTTATGTAGAAAACACAAAAACTGCAGGCATTATGAGGGAAGTAGGGGAGATTAAAGAGAAATCACTGTAGAAACAACTTTTCAGATAACTGCATCATTCTTTGTACTCCCTGGCCCGAAAATGGTTCAACTTGTCTGAAAAGTGAAGAGGTCAAATATGTGCACACAGCCACTTTGCCAAGTGTGGGTAAGTTGATATCTATGAAGATTTATGAGTATCCCCTCACTACCTGTCTCCTCCATTCCCTGTACTGTCTAGCCTGACTCAAGTTTATTTTTCTTTAGTTAAAGCAGCTACTAAGAATAAGATAAATAAAGAACTGAATAGTTAAATGGAGTGCGTGTGTGAGAGAGAAATTAGTATTTAATTAAAATGTAACAAAATCTATCTGTATATACTTCTGACACACAATTGCCTATTTATCTAATGATACTGATACTAAACAACTGATTTTGAAAAGTATATAAAAAATAAAAATAGACACAAAATATTGGAAAATAATAACAATTTTAAATGGGTTCTAGAATTATATGATCTTTTTCAAGCATGGTCCAGCCATAAAATTATTTTATTTTTTCCTTTCAAAATGTAGCCAAGAAACAAACATCTATCTTTGCTTTCTTTGCAGGAAAGAACCAGTGTCTGGACTAGTTCCAAGCCATCCAGACAGCTATTTCAACTGGAACAAGTGACCTTTGGAACTGACTA
This sequence comes from Homo sapiens, assembly GCF_000001405.40. Lineage (NCBI taxonomy): Eukaryota > Metazoa > Chordata > Mammalia > Primates > Hominidae > Homo > Homo sapiens. The sequence continues at coordinate 188,598,777 of NC_000002.12, read as the reverse complement.
GAACATAACAGCCTGGCCAGACAGAGGGGAGGGAGTAGGCAGTTGGGAAGGACCCCAACATGTTCTTCTGAAAGCTCATTTGAAATAAGAGGACAATAAAAAGGACAGAAATATGAACTTAAAAATACATCAAACCAGTAAAAACTGTGTGACCACAATATGGGATTCAAGAAAAGTTACAGTTTGTGTTTTTAGCTGTCATTCTTTAATATACACGCTTAAATACTTCTCCAACCCCGTGAGCACAGGCCCTGTCCCTTAATTACATAACATTCATGTTTGAATCTTCATAGCCTCTTTGACACTAAGTAACCATTATTTTGTTTTTCCTCTATCAATTGGGCCAGACTTCCTTAGTCTATGATTCTATGGTGATTGTTAGACAAACTTCAATAATTACTAAGAGATTTATTTAGCAAATTATTGCTACAATAGAAGTTAAAATAATAGTAAATATTTTATTGAAAATGAGATAGTGGTTATCTTCTCCCAACATTTATTTGAAGGCATGTTGTTCTTTTCTAAGAGAACATACAAAATTTAAGTTCACATCATTGGCAAGAAGCATCTAAATAAATATGCAATCTTTTAATGAATGCTTATGGACAAAGTGTTGTGCTTGGTAACAAAGAGGAAGGATGTCAAGGCAATCCTTCCTTCAAAATGTTTGAAAAATGGAGAGCAAAGCTTTTTTAAAAATGCTTTATTAAAAATACAAAAAGAAAGCTGTTTCTTAGACAATGTGTTATTGATTTTTAGAAAATATATTAACTATCATAAGTTGATTATGTCCAAGGTACTGAGAAAATACTATGAGATTTCAGAGTGCTCTTTCACAGAGAACTTTGTTATTCCAGTGGGTACTGGAAAATACTTTTCAGAAGACAACTTCTATAGCTTCTAATCAGGCCTTCTTTAATGAAAATACAAACCTTTAAAAGTCTTAATGAATATTCCAAGGTGTCTATAGAATTGCTTGGAAACTAGAAGATTTGGTTCAATGAATTTGGCATGTAGATCTGAATGAATGCCAAAAATGTAGCTAAGGTAAAGGAAATAAATTTTTACAAAATTTGTGTTACATAGTCTTCGTGGTACTATTAACTGACAAAAAACACAATGTTAATGATATAGAAATAAGAAATTTGGTTATTTCAATTTATCATGTAATGTCAGAAAAATGAGAAATGAGCCTTTCAACTCAACTACTTCTTAAGTATGCCATTGGAATTGGCATAGTATTGATTAGAAGCTAAGAAGTAGAGCAGAAAAAAATGAATCCAGAGAAAGACAATGCTGTCTGCTACTTATGTAATGTTCATATTTCTTAAACTGTATTTCGAAAGCAAGAAAATAGACCATAAATGATTTTAGGAGGTGGCGTTCTTGCTAGATTAAGAAAATCCCACTTAGAATTCTAGAGAAATTATGCTTTTAGGGAGGGAGTTTCATTAGTGGATTATCACAGACCTTAACAACAAAAGATCAAAACATGAAATAAATGTACAAGAATTAAGGTTTGTGTCAAATTTGTGAGATGCACTTAGAAGGGTGAGATTTTAAATATTTGTCTGAAGTTATATAGGAAGAAGACATTTTCTGCATGAGACACAGGGGTCCAAGGGCAATTCCAACTGTGACCATCACATTTGTAAGTTCCCTATACAGGGTGTAGTTTAGGTGGAGTCTGAAATTCAGTTGTCAAAATTGACTCCAAGATTCTTCAAGTAATTTAACAGAGGATGAAGCCCAAAATCATGAGTAAATATTGAATCTGGAAGTATATGTGGAAACACTGGAATAGAAAAACATTAACAGCCAGTTTTTTCAGGGTTATGCTAAGTAACATAAAAACGAATAAAAAAATCAGTATTTAGAAATGCAACATATTATCTATCAGAAATCCTACTGAAAATACATTCCCATAATATTATTAAATTTTTTTAGAAAAATCCAAATCCAAAATAAAAGAACAAAAAGAGACGAAGAAAATTTTTGCCATTGGCCTGCTCTGATAAACTTCACACTGGATGACTGATACCTGACATCAGCTAGTACGAGGTACCCAGACTTAAACATACTTAAATACAAGTGTTCCTGAGGAAGTTTTTGGTTCACACAGTGTTGTGATACATATTCGCTTTTATTTATTCACTGATATGCTTCCCATACTTTTACTTTATGACAATAAACTGACTGAAATCAGAGATCCTGTCAATTTAATGCCACCTGCTAACACATCTGTTAGCAAACTTGCTAGATGTTTTCTTACCCCATAAAGTACATGTTATTCATATAAAGTGAGTAATAAATGAATTTTATTGAATGAATTGATGAATTGTTCCTTGGTGTTCAAAGGCTGTGCATGTGAGTCCCGTGTCCATAAAATACTTAACATCATGTTTTAAATTGATTCAAAACTTCTTCATGATTGCACTCTTAGTCATAATCCACATCCTATTATCAAGTTCCACCTTTATAAAACTATCAGCCAAGACACCCTTTTCATTACTGCTAAGTTAAAAAAAGCCTCCAGTTATGAAATTGATATTTACATAATACAGTTTTTGCACCAGATGCTTCTGGTAAAAGGAAGCAAATCATGACCTCTCTCACCAGCAGGATCAGTCCACTGTTTTCACAACTGAATGATATTTGCTCATAAAGCTAAAATGTGTGTGGGCTGCAAGAAATGAAGTTAAAGGTAAAGCCCTTTATTTCTTCTTTGCCTTTCCCTCTTCCTCCCTTTCTTTTATCTCCATTTATGATCAAGAAAATCTGTTACATAATTAGCTTCAGAATGTGTCTGTATTAATTAGAGATTATTTAACAAATGAATTATGCAATTTAATTTATTTAAAATCATTTATTTTCAGGAAAACCAAACATATCGTTGAGTTTACATAGAAATACAATTTTCAACCAGATCTTCATAAAAACGCACTGGAGAAATAAATGTTCATAATTAATGACCAGTTATGTACTATTTCATCATGCCAGTAGCAGAGTTGATTACCATTAAAAATTGGTAAAGTAACATATCTTAAATGTGCAAATACCATCTTAGTACTCCATTGTGTTACCATTGATAATAAATGGCCACTAAATATATACCTATTACATAAATCTTTTTAAAGTACAATAAAAATACAAATTCTATCTGTTAAAAAAAGCCACTTATATGGCTTCTAAACATCCTTATTATACAAATTCCAAAATACTATCTGACAAACAAAATTATAAAGACTCTTCTTTATGAAACATATATTGCCCTCTAATTAAGGTACAACTTAGCAGATAAAAGAAACTAAACAAGAAGGCTCATATATACCATATAACATTAAGGAAAAACACACAAATATATATTGCATAAGCATATTTGATTTCTTTTCCTAGTGAAAATGTACCTTTAACACTTGAAGAAAATTCCAATGAGTAAATGATAAATCTATTTTTGAGGGCTACCCCTACTCTAAGTCACATTTTCATTAATTTAATTTATTTATCTTATAATGTGATGAACCAAGTTAGAAATTTTGACCATAAATTTTTGTTTTACTGAGTACAAATTAGTCTGTTAGGTAAAGGGTAAAGGTATAGGAAACAAATATTTTTAAAAGTCCAGGTTCATCAGCACATCAATAATGAAATGCAAGAGAATTTTATTGCTCATGTTCAAGACTAAACTGAGCAGTAACTGGGTTTTTTTTTTTTTTTTGGAAAATGAGATTTTTGACTTTAACAAAACAAATACAGATTGAATTTACCAAATATTGATAATTCATGTAGAACGGGTGCCACAGATTTTAAAGTATCAAAACCAAGAGGGCATCACAAAATAAACTTTGGTGAAAAATATCTTCATCAAAGAAGAAAATATGAGAAGAGTAGTCCTTATGCAGTGAGGAGAAATATATTTGGTAAAGTAAATATGGGTAGTAGATACTGAATCTATAGATAGCATATATTCCAAATGTTTTTTAGGGAATATCAAATCAGATGATGCTTAGATGTTATAGTAATATCACTTATCTCATTTGGAATGAAATTTAATGTTTTTTAATAAATAGCAAATTTTCATTTTTTCACTACCTTTATAAAACAAATTAAATATTTAGAGTATAACTGATCATAACTAACATCACCTTGCATTTACTAATAAATACTCTAAATACATTTGGTTTATTATTGGAATTTATATCCTTATAATTTTACCTGCTAGAAATTAGTGACCTTGTGGCATTATGTTTAAAGTTTACATTTTCCCAGTGATGTGAACAGTATTTATACATAAAATGATATCTGTCCAATGAATAGTAACATGTTTGTTGGTTTAAAAACAGAACATGTTTAGTTTGACATTGGCATGTCTCTTCAGAATTTAAAAAGTTATCTTTAAGGTATGGCTTTTGGGAAATCATTAATAAACTAGCCATCTGGAAAATGAATACAAATTTCAAGATGCTAACTAAATAGAACTCAGACACAAGGCAGGTATTTGTATAATATGTCTTTCAATTACAAATTCATCTACAGTAGAAACAGAAAGGAACATAAAAGTATGATCTACTTTACAGTAAGCTGTTTTTAAAATAAAAATTACAGATCAATAGTGAAGGTGAGGAAATTTAACTGAGAAAATTTTCAAAATATTAAAATATTCAAAAACATTGACACATGAATAATACCTATCTTAAAGTAATAATAATAAATGACATGTGTATACAAACACATTTAACATGAATCAGGATTTCTTGTTCTTGATGTCAGCACCTACTGTCTAACGGGTCGAGACAAAATACTGTGCCTTCAAGAGTTAGTCCCATTTTGAACCCCTCCTGTAAAACAGAATAAAATAATTAATATCTGAAATGCTTACAGCAAAATAAAATCAGTGAATAAAAAAGACTATGCACTAAAGTTGAAATATTCATGCTTTGATCAACTAATAAATAACTATATGTCAAATGTTGACTTGCTGAATTTTTATATAGGTGTATAGCACTGGTAGTTCTTTCAGACCCATTAACACTTTAATGTTTTAAATCTATGTGAGGTTAGCATGCATGAGAGACAGAAGAGAAAACATAAAATTAAGATAAAGGTTTCTTTTTCAGAAAAGGCTAGTTACTACATCATTCTATTGTAAATGAAATCTGTTAGCTTTAAAAATTATTATTAATTTAAATATTATTAAGATAGTTAGGCTTCAAATTGATGAGAGGTTCAAGATAGCCTGATGATTTTCACCTTATTCCTGGTTAGCACTGACCAGAGCCCGGGTAAAATACTTCTTTTAAATGCAATGCCGTATCCTCTGTGGAACACACAACTGCAGATTACTTTGCCATGGAGAAAACTTCCCCTACTAGCCTTGCTGTTGCTTGTAGCGGACTGGCTTCTTTGACTCCTACTCTTCCTTGCATATTTTAGAAGTTAAGTTGTCTATGATTTATTGAGTATAAGAACACAATTGCTAAGAAAGTGTTTTTCCACCAAGATTTTGAATTAAAATAATGGCATAGGAGTCTGTCCTCCTTCACTCCAATCTCTTTTTTTTTTATTGCATAAGATAATTGAACTGTGGGCCATCTCCAGTCTTGCCACCTCTCCCCATTCCTACCCTTTCCTGTAAATCTATACACATTGGCCTACAAAAAGATGAAAAGCACAGACTTGCACTGATCAATGAAAGTGGAGGTTACATTGTAGGTCTCCTTGTAGAAGCAAATGTGGTAGTGCTCTCTACATACTCTACCTTTTTTTTCTTACTAACAGAACTGAAATGTTTCAGAAAGGTAATTTGTAATTTGGAGTGGCCATGCAACACATTATTGGCAAATAATATGCAGATAGCAGTGTATTCCTAAAGAAAACAAAATGTCTCCTAAAGGTAACCATTGGTTTTCACCTCTGCTTTGGGTGTTTTATTTAATTGGACTGACTATATCTACTTGTATGTTAGCTAATTGGGTATCTTTTTGCATCTCTCCAAATTACTTTTATTTAGAATAATTATGTAAATGTTCTTATCTTTCTATAAATCCAATGTAAACATCATCATATAGAGGAGGAAGGTAGTTACAAAGCTGTAAGCCATACTTTATTTGTTATTAATGTTCAAAGAATATTCTTTATGTTTACAGCACAGAGACTACTACTATATAGCAATTACAGTGATGTAATCATTGTGAAAGTTTTTCAAAATGTCTTTCCAGTACTTGGAATACAATCTTTATTTAGTTGAGTAAATATGAGACTACTTATCATTATTTTTTAAAAATCTATTCTTATCACAAAATACATTTTGCCATATTTATTTATATTTTTCAAACAGCCAGCAAATACTTAGAAAAATAAATACTTTAAACTAAAATACTGTAAGTAAACTTTTCTTTAAAATTATTTTATTTGGATATCTGAAGATCTGTATATTATGTCATCTTCTGGTATATTACAAATGGTAAATAGATGATACATTGATAGATAATGACAGATAGAAAGAGAGTTACATGTGGAAATGTTTGATACCATACGGTACTTTTAAATTTTATCAGTTCATTCTGCTAGTAAACCAGTATCACTTCAATTACCCTGAAAATACTATTTGTCAATGTGTTATCAATATTGGAAAAGCAGAATAGCAGCCAAAGTAAAACAGAGGTCAATCACTATTTTAATAATAAAGTGTTAGTATATGACTTACAATAATATCTATCTCCATATTGACTTTTTAAGGATCCTTACATATTATAAGGTTTCTTGATTTTCTTTCTTCCTCAGATAAAATTTCCCACACCTGTTGAGCTTCAAACTTCTTAATAAAAATGAGACTTTATTTACTTATGTAGTGATGGGAATTATCATAAGCTAACGTCACACAAAAGAATGATTAAATAATTAAAGTATTATTCACCATATGCTTTTTATACGAAAGATTTTGATGAATTTTCTTATTTTGAAATAGAAAAGCATATCAAGGAAAGAAAAATCACTACATTTTGAGGTATGTCTTTTTTTCTATCTATACATTTTTAAAAATGATTTTAATGATAATATGAATATATATTTATGCCATATAATTTTCTTATGTAAGTAATATATTACATATAGTTTTCTATCTTCCTCTTTTCATCTTTGCAGACCCTGATTATTTTAAATTCCCACAAAACTAATTTATTATGACTATATAAAATGCTATTAATTTTTATGATTGTTTCCATCGTAAAAATGCATTTTACGTTGATTTGAAAAAAAATCGTTCAGCATTTTAAAATTATGAATAATGTTGACTAGGTATTTTTATTCGCAGAGATTGAACACATTCATACTTATTTTTTCATCAGAATAGATTGCTTTAAAGTTTTGATATCAAACAGAAATAAAAGTATTAATAACAAGCTACCCTTTAAAGAGACTGCTAGGCCATAGTTACCTCTGAACTAACTCTGGACTGCCAACAATTTACAGTGCTTGTTTTATCACACTTTCAGTTGTATTGATTGATTATTAGTTTAAAAAATAATCTGCTAGATTAAAATAGCATTACAGTTCTTTATTTGATTTATATGTTTACTTTGATTAGACAGAACATGTCTACATATGTGTAAGCCACTTGTGGTCTTCTTTTGTGAACTAGTGCTTTTTTATTTATCTGTTGATTCTTTAGTTTCCTAGCCATTTGTCTAATTGCTTTAATTATGTATATGTAATGTATTTATATATTTTTAGACAGTAAATTTTAAAAAATTGGATACTATATGTCCGTATTTTTCTTTTCCTTATAAAATTTTCTTTTCAATTCAAAAGTCTGATGAATATTCAATAATATTTTAAATATTTTAAAATGTTGATTACTTCTGAAATTTATCTCGGCATTTGCTGTAAGTTTCAGCAGTACATTGATCTTCTCCCAGAGTACTAGCTAGCTGACTTAACACCACTCATACATGATTCTTTCATCATTCATGAACTTGCCATGCTTGTTTTTTAATGTATTAAATTATTATAGCTCACATGTTACAGTGTGGGCTATCAATACTATTCCACTTATTTTCCTGTTGGTGACATGTACTGGACAGTTTAAATTATGTCAAATCAAATAGCTACATTATTGATTTCAAATAGATGTTTAATTTTCTAACTGCTTATACTGAAATATGGTCTAACATTTCTGCATAAATGCTTACATGCATGAGATGTTTCTGTGATTTCAAACTTAATAATTCGATTCTCTTAAAAATAGCTTAGTCACAATACTCTGTAAATGAAAGATGAAAACTAAATGTCTCACTAGGCTTATTAACTCAATATGGTGTTCACAACCCATTGTACTATATTAAGTTTTTATATGATATGCAAAGATAGCTAAATGTCTGCATTAGATTCATTAGGCTAGCACGATTAATAATAAAAGCCATCATAGACTTTAGATGAAGAAAATATTATTTTACTTTTGTTAAAGTGACCTTGCAAGTAAATATTGGACTAAAAGAAACAATCATGGCCAAGTATGGTGGCTCATGCCTGTGGTCCAAGCACTTTGGGAGGTCTAAGTGGGTAGATCGCTTGAGCCCAGCAGTTCAAGCCCAGTCTGGACAACATGATGAAACCCTGTTTTTAACAAAAAATACAAAAATTAGCCACGCGTGGTAGTGCACACTTGTAGTCTCAGCTACTCAGGAAGCTGAGGAGGGAAGATTGCTTGAGCCCGGGCGGTGGAGGTTGCAGTGAGCCAAGATCATGCCACTGCACTCCAGCTTGGGTAGGGCGATAGAGTGAGACTCTGCCTCAAAAAAAAAAAGAAAAGAAAGGAAACAATGAAGTGAACAATGCAATAGTGACTAAGTCACTGAAAAATAATCTTAAAATGTGGTTTATAAAACCTCTCTAAACATAACTAATTATCAGATATACCCATATGAAGCTGTTGTTTGAATTTTTATTAAATAAGGCATGCAAATTTTAAGGTTTCAGCTTTAAAAATTTGTAAGTTGTTTAAAATTATTATAAAAATAATATACCAACCATCTCTGGCGCTACCCACCATGAAAGCAGTAAAGAATTTAAAAAGACATTAAGAAAATATTAGAAACAGCAAAAGCAAAAACACCACGGTTTAACATTGAGTGTCACCATCACTCAATCATCCCAATACATTGTGTCTCACACTTGGTTTCAACAAAATCTGGAAATAGAGGCTTATCCTTAAAACTCCATAATTTTTTTTCCAATTTTGGGAAAATCTAAAAAATTTTTAGAGAAGTACTCTGTATGACCTGTGCAACCCTTGAGAATAAATACTACCACATAAATATTTCTTTGTTACTACAAAAGCATTAGTACCAGATAGTACATGTCCAATGGGTAAAACTAATGTAAAAGAAAAGGAATTGATTTCATATGAAATACAGCATTCTTGCTAAATTATCATGCGCCATTTGAAAGTTTCATAGCGTTTGAAATATAGAAAAGAACTAGGAAATCTGTGCCATCAGATAGAATACATGTTGAAATCAATAGAAATTTGATAAGGTGGTTTTAGCTTTAACCAAATAAGATCATCCGTCCTGTATTGGTGTTGCAATTTGGCTTTCATTTAATTTATAATTTATTGAATTCATAATTTTATAAAAACCATAAGGACAAGTTGTTTATAACATTTTTGTCAATATTTAAAAATTGTAAGTTAATACTAAGGATCTAAAACAATTTTTATGTAAAAGGGGATTAAGAATCATTCAACTTGAGAAACACTGTTTTAATAGATTCTTTGAAAACCTCAAGACATATGTTAAGTAATTCAACTTTTAAATTCAGGCATGTTATTACATCTAGAACAATAATGAATTCATGTACTACCTAGAAAATAAGATAGCTACACAGCTGCAGTCAAAAATGAGTAAAAGGGCATTTAAATTAACTTTCTAAGAAGGATTGCAATTATCAGTGATAGATCAGTGTTCACCCATAATTGTTTTTTCTAGGAAGTGAGGCATAGAGAATTAATGTATTAACCCAAGACTAATAAACAAAAATACCTCCTTCTCCTTACTTTAGTGTCTTCATTGTCTCTTCTCAATCAGCTTCATATAATTGGTGTCTGTCTGGATTCTACCATATATAAACTTTTTGATGAAAAATAGGATATAATAACTTCACCAAAATGTAAAGGGCAAATATAAAGAGAAGACTTTATTCTAGGGTTTATAAGACTATTTTTAAATCATGGCCCATAGTGCAAAGCATTTAAAACCAATTTCTGTAAACTTCAGACCAATTTAGAACAAAAAAGTAAAAGGAAGAGAGAGAAATGAAAACCCAACTGAACTACATTCCTAAATAAGTTGTCACTGGTTGTTTGCTTTTTAAATAAAAGCCCAAAAGTTATGAACTACAGCTACAATGCTTCTTTTCAGAGAGAATAATTTCACTCTTACAAAGATTTTCCTTCATCTACCCATTTACAATTTTCAAATTCATAATTGTTAAGACTGAGATCAAATCTTATAAATCTAATGCAGTGACTGTTTAACTCTAGATTTCAGAACAATGAACCATTAGAATCCATGCCATTTTGTATTTAAAAAATGAACCATCTTATTGACATTATAAATTGAACCATTTAAAAAACCAACAACCTTATCCTTAGCATATGTAGGAGTATTTTTAGGACTAACTGTACATTATTATTTTAAAGTAATTATTTTAAGCGAGTTTTTATAGCGAAAATAATTGAAGGAAACCATAGTTTTGGTACATAACATTCTCTTTGTCCCATATCAAAATGAAATAAATCATTTATGGGCCAGTCTATCAAAATAGTCACCTGCATCTCATCTAATTTTGATTGAATATCTGGAGGGAAATCTGCTGCTCCACAGTTAAATGGGTCAAAAGGTTCTGCTCCAAACAGGTCCCGTTCTGCAAGGAAGGAAATAATTTAGTAAATGAAATAACAAGAAGTGAGCTGGAGTTAGTTAGATTTCAAAGGCAGGATTATATAAATGAATATTTACATGATCAAATAAGCCACTAACCCACACTTACACTGTATGTTGGGCTTTCCTGACCTTAGACCAGTTAAACATTAACAAGGAAGAAAAGATCCATTTTATGATATTAAAAAGTTTTATTATAAAGAATTATTATCTAGAGAGGTTTCTGTGTTTTAGTGAAGATTTCTTAATGTCAAATTCACCAAAGAGCTGATAATTGTATGTTACAACACCTATATTTTATTGAAGCAATTTAAATTTGCTAAAATTAATGCACTACTCATTGAGACTACCCTAATTCCATTGATTGATGCCTTGCAACACAATAGTAAAGCAATATGTAGGACTAAGTAGACTTGTAAGTAGCTCTACTCAAAGTTCATGTACTCTTATCTCTCCTTTTATTCAGAGAAAATTTTAAAGCACATTGTCTCATGTAGTATGAAATGTCACCTTTCTAGATAGTCACAATGAGATAGTTTCTTTAAAAATGCCTCCTATCCCAGAAATACATTTCTTTTTTAAAAGCAGCAGGAATGCAATGTCAAAAAAGCTTTCTGTACATATGTTCTAAAGTATGCACTACTTTTTTATCACTAAAGAAGTATCAAAGTTAAAATTGATGTTTGTAATTGATAGATTACGGCCTATTATGGGATTTTTAAAATAAAAAATTCTTAAGAAATTTCTTTCCTCTGAATCAATTCAAATGTATCCTTAATTGGAAAAACATTACACTATATATGAAAATTAGTATTTATAACATATTCATACCTTCATTTTGCAGAGAACTTTACATTCTCTAAATTCAATTCTATGTAAGAAATACATAGGTAACTAACCTGCACAATGTGCACATGTACCCTAAAACTTAAAGTATAATAAAAAAATTAAAAAATTAAAAAATTAAAAAAGAAATAATATTTATGCTACTTGATTTCTGCCATATCCTCTAAAATCACTCTGTGATTCTCATTGTGAAGGAGTCTTACTTTTCCAGTTTTCATGTTTTTTCCCAGATTCTTGTATTAAATAAGTTAATAAATGTGAAATTCTTACAAGCTCCTTGTACTTGCAGGTATTGTATAAATAAGGAGAACATATAATTTATCATCCAAATACAGATGCTTTTAAAACTAAAAGGAGCATTTCCAATAGTTACACTGGGTAAAAATCTATAAGCCAGGGCTATCCTAATCAAATGGGAATTTATTGTTACCTTATATATAACTGATGAATATTACTATTGCTGTTATTTATTTTCCTCAGTTTAGTGTTGCTCAGGCAATCAATCAAAATTTAGATTTCAGAGGATCTTTTCTCTGGAGAAATGTCCTGGTTTCCACTACACCATAAGCATACTGAATAATGTTTTTCACCTAGTAGGTGTTTGTTAAAAAATGAATTAATGAAAGGGAAGATTTGGTGAAAAGGTTCTGCTTCAAACATGTCCCGTTGTAAAAGGAAGTAAAAATTTAGTAAACGAAATGACAAGAAGTGACTTGGAGTGACTCACTTATATAGATTATGTCTATATAATCTCTATTTCTCTGTCTATATTTATCAAACTTTGATACTCAGGAATATTTAGACACTGAAAAATCTATCAAGGTGTTACTGGAGCACTCTTGTTACACTTCAGCAAAGAGACTAGCAGTGTTTTACCCCTGCCCTAGAGATCTGTGGAACTTTGAACTTGAGAGAGATGATTTAGGGTATCTGGCAGAAGAAATTTCTAAGCAGCAAAGCATTCAAGATGTGACCTGGCTTTTTCTAAAAGCATACAGTCATATGCATTCACAAAGAAATAATTTGAAATTAGAACTTACGTTTAAAAAGGAAGCAGAGCAAAAAGTTTGGAAAATATGCAGCCCGACTATGTGGTAGAAAAAGAAAACCCATTTTCTGAGGAGAAATTCAAGCCTCTTGCAGAAATTTGCATAAGTAAAAAGGAGCTGAATGTTAATAGCCAAGACAATGGGGAAGATGTCACCAGCACATGTCAGACATCTGCGGCAGCCCCTCCCATCAAAGGTCCAGAGGCCTAAGAGGAAAAAATGGTTTCGTGGGCCAAGCCCAGGGCCCTGCTGCTCTGTGCAACCTCAGGACTTGATGTCCTGCATCCCAGCCACTCCAGCTCTAGCCATGGCTAAAAGGGGCCAAGATACAGCTCAAGCCATTGCTTCATGGGGTAAAAGCCCTAAGCCTTGGTGGCTTCCCTGTGGTGTTGGGCCTGCAGGTGCACAGAAGACAAGAGTTGAGCTTTGGGAGCCTCTGCCTAGATTTCGGAGGATGTATGGAAACGCCTGAATGTTCAGGCAGAAGTCTGTGGCAGGAGCAGAGCCCTCATGGAGAACCTCTACTAGGGCAATGCAGAGGAGAAATGTAGGGTTAAAGCCCCCACACAGAGTCCCCACTGGGGCACTGCCTAGTGGAGCTGTGAGAAGAGGGCCACTGTCTTTCAGACCCCCGAATGGTAGATCCACCAACAGCTTGCACTGTGTGCCTGTCACTCAATGCCAGCCTGTGAAAACAGCTATGGGGGCTGTACCCTGCAGAGCCACAGAGGTGGAGCTGCCCAAGGCCTTGGGGTCCATCCCTTGCATTAGCATGCCCTGGATGTGACACATGGAGTAAAATGAGATAATTTTGGAGCTTTAAGATTTAATGACTGCCCCACCGGGTTTCAAACTTGCAAGGGGCCTGTGGCTCCTTCGCTTTGCCAATTTCTCCAATTTGGAATGGAAACGTTCACCCAATGCCTGTATGCTCATTGTATTTTACAAGTAACTAACTTGCTTTTTATTTTACAGGCTTATAGGTGTTTTCTAATTCATCAAAAAGAGACTTTAATATTCCTTCCAGATATATAAAAGATAAAACAGAAAAGCAATGAATTTATAGCATTTTAGATAGGAAAGAACCCTTACAAAAGGTTAAGAAATCATGATATAATTTATATATTTTTTAACAAAAAAGTCCATAAACCCTATGATAACAAAAATATTTTAACCAGCTCTATTAAACATGTAAAAAATGATCAATTTAATTACCACCAGTTATTTTTAAAAGTTAAAGTAAAATATTAAAAATATAACCCAAAACAGTGATATATAATTAAATATGAAGTAATACACCAAAACATAATTGTTCACACAATAGGTAAAAGTTGCAAGCAGAGATGTCATTAGTAGTGTAGTCTGAATTATAAAGTAAAATAGAATTAATGGAAATTTATACAAATATAAAAATAATACTTTAATAATTAAAATTGTAAGTAAGGTTGTTAAGATATGTAATTTCCCACAAAGTCTTAATTATATATTTAAAATGTATGCAACTATAACAAGAAACTTTGATTTGTTGAGAAAGCTTACTAATCTCAGTAGATCTACTAGGTACTGGAGGTGGCTGTGTGCCATTGCGAGTAGGCATCGAAGACTGGTGTGATATTGGAGAAAATGGAATCATATCAAAGATGTCAGTGGAGGGCGACTTAGGTGTCATACTGCCTGCCTGCAATGAAAATAAATGAATTAGGGTAATATTTCATATAGACACATTGTAATGCTAAATATTTCATATGCATATAAAATATATGTAAACAACAATTTCAGTTGCATCATAAGAATTTGCCATTTTGTAGACCAAAAATAGTTAAGTATTCGCAATTTCATATGGTTCCACTAATTATGATAAATGCTCATTTAGAAGAAAGCAATAGAAAATTTCTGTAAAAATGCTCTCAAAGATGATGGCAAAAACGGTGACAATATTATTCCAGATGAATATAAAAGATACAGTGAATTTTTGGGATATATAGAAATGACTGCTACTTGTAACAGAGAATTAGATATATTAGAAACTATTCATGTAAAAATATGATTTCAGTAAGATACGCTGCATAAGATTACATTTTAAACTGGAATAATTAGACATAAGTGACCTGCCTTCTTAAATATAAACATTCAAATGCAATTGATTTTTTTTGCATTCTCAAAAGTAGAGTATATTTTAGTTTGTATTTATATCAACAATGGGAACCAACTGATATTCATTGCAGTACATTTTACTCCTGAAAGATTTCATCAAGTTTTCTGTAATAAATAGCAATCTTATAAACTAAATTAATAATCGCCAGTGTACTGCCCAAATCATTGAGTTTTCTGATACAGTCTGGGCCAGGACTGAACACATATAGGGAAAGATAAATGAAAATCTCATGAAAATGTAGCCAAGAAGTAATATCAAAATTAGACATTTATCACTTTGTAAAACAGGGAACAATATGTATATATGTATAATCTCCTTTGAAAACCATCTGATTTGATCAGGGATAAAAGAGAATTTCCATTTTGGGGGAATAGTGGCGAAAAATTTGCTTTTCCTGTGAGAACTTGGACAGAGATTGCTTCCAGTAGTTCATATTAAAATTAGAATTCTCAGAATACGTTTAATTTTCTGATTCACAGGTAGTGCAGGTGATGAAAAAATCAGGCTTATTGTGTGTAGAGAATGATGGGTTTGCTATTCAGCTAAAATAATTGCTAGTACATTATTTTTCATGCAGGAAAATTGCTGTCATCCCCCTTTCTTTAACAATTTGTTTATTGTATCCCCTCACCCCTTTACTGTTACTCAGCAATACCATTCCCCTAATTATCCCATTCCTGTATCCCCTCTCACTTCTATATCTCTACTCTTTTTCACGATACAAAAATTCTAAAATCTTGGCTGTCATTAAAAGCAAAACAAATCAATCAAAAATTTATTTACTCTGTCCCTCTTTAATCTTCCAGCCTCTATTCTGTTTTTCTTTTTCCTTCAAGGCTAAGCTCCTTGAAAGAGATACTACACTTTCTGTCCTAAGATTTACTTCATTCTATCTTTAACTCTTATCAATCTAGATTTGTTCTTTTTGCACTGAACTCTGCTGAAATTGCTCTTACCAATGATCTAATTTCCCAACTGCAACATCTGATAGATCCTTTGAAGTATCTGTATGTAAATTTCTACACTGTCACCACCCTCTACTTGAAACTTTCTGGTATCAGGTAATCAAAGAAAACAACAATGGCACACAAAGGCTCCAGATCACATCACATTGACTCAAGATACATCTAAATTTTTGATAACTTTACAAATAGCACATTTTGGCAGAATTTAAGCAAAATAAGTGGGATAATAAAAAAGAATTATCTGCTTAGCAAATTACATGAGGTCTTGGGATGCTGCTCTCACTGACTGGCTTGGGAAAGCCACATTTAGAAGGTGGTGGTATTAACAGTCCCAGTGATAGTCTGGAATCAGGCGAGTTGATAGGAGTGACAGAGATGGAAGAAATATTGAGACAGGGAGATGAATCACCATTACTACGCCAGAAAGAGGATGAGCATCTCTGAAACACATGTTGTTCATGATCAGACATATTGTGCAGCAGCTGTAAAGGAATGACAGAAAAAGAAATATCCTAAGAGGGCAGGCATGGAGGAAAGGAGAAAGTATACTTGAAATTTATTTGTAAAATGGTGTTTTGTTAAGATGATAAGATCATTTCACAGTAACTTTTCTAAAATTAAAACATAGAGTTAGAGTTGATTTTCCTATGTGATAGTCCTTAGATTCTGGATTGCTTAATTTGATCTTTTTTTTACTGAAATATTACATTTTTTGGTATTTTAAATAGAATATTGCATTCATCGGGACCTAAGAGGAAGGTAATGGAGAGAAACATGAAGAAAGCCTGAAGATTTATTTTGGAGAGGGCTTCTGTAATGAAATGGAAAAAGGAAGGATAGTAATGAGAGAACAGTTACAGAACTAGGAGTAAACTCTTGTACATAAAGTTATGGTTGTGTAGAATTTTCAAAAGGGATTACAACATACATTTTATATTTAATCCTCAAAACATTATTTGAAGTATCAGTAGTAGTGATATTATGTCCTTATTACAATAAATACATGGGAATTAAGGTCCACAGATTCTTTGTGACTTGTATGAGGTAGAAAGCAGATTCAAAATTCAAAACAGTCTGACTCTAGTCATCATGCCCTTTCTATAGTCATGAGGAGCTCCAAATTGTAAGACTTTTTGGGTGATGGGAAGAGGTGATTGACAAGGATCTCAAATAAATCAGAGAGATAATGAATAACAAGCAAGCAGTGTACTAGGTCTGAACATCAGTATGTGCATGACTTTTAGGGGCTATTTCCATTACAACATGGAAAGCTACTGTTAAGAGCTGAGCTGGAGAGAGCTGAGCTGCCAGATGTCACAGTGGCCAATTAAACAGCAGCCAAAATGGAAGTAATAATTAAGTCTTTATTCATTTACTGCTATAGTATAAGCAAGAGGCCAGAGAGAAGGTGCCTGCTCCATCAATGCTCCATTTTCCCCAAGGAATGGCACTTGAGCAAGGGTCAGATGTATCACTGCAGAAGTGAGGCTTTGTCTCATTACTTAGGGACTCCTGAACAAAAGGTTCCTGAGGGTTTTTTTCGGACAAGAGACGGTAGGAGGGAGAAGGGAAGGGCTAGCAGTAGAAAAGTACTGAATACTGAGTCATACTGGAGAAAAGTGGTCTCCAAGACCCTCGAATAAGGTGGTCTCAGGAGAGGCACCTAAGGCCCCCTAAAAGGAGGCCCCTGAGTGGAGTTGCCTGGGCTATAAATGCAGATATGCACAAGAGCATGGCTGGCCAGGGCACCTGAGTACTAGATTCAATTCCTCCAAACTGTGCACCAAATACAATGTGATGAGGGCACCTTTCTCCCACCAAATACAATGTGATGAGGTGTGCCAGGCAAAGCCTTTGTAACTGCCTACGCTCGGGCCAGAAAGATCGCACATAAGATTCTGGCCGGGAGCCACATTCCTCAGCCGCAAATCACATGTCAGAGATCTTTCACCACTAACAAAAATTCAGGCAGCCAAAAATAATCTGATTTTTGATAAACTTTATTGTAAAAGGTAGTAACTAAAATTAGAATTTTAAGGACCAACAAGTCTGAGGTATGTCCTTAAGCTAGGAGGCCCCCCTTCACATATTTCTGGAAGCAGAGAGAAAAAGGAAGCCATGTAAAGTGAGAGATTAAATTGAGGGAAGGGTTCAGTGTGGAAGCAGAACCTCTGCTAGTCTGAGTTATATAATTAATCACTCTATTAATATGCATATATAAATACATAATTTTTTATTTCTCTGTTGATCTCCATTTTTTTTTTTTTTTTGAGACGGAGTCTCGCTCTGTCGCCCAGGCTGGAGTGCAGTGGCGGGATCTCGGCTCACTGCAAGCTCCGCCTCCCGGGTTCACGCCATTCTCCTGCCTCAGCCTCCCAAGTAGCTGGGACTACAGGCGCCCGCCACTACGCCCGGCTAATTTTTTGTATTTTTAGTAGAGACGGGGTTTCACCGTTTTAGCCGGGATGGTCTCGATCTCCTGACCTCGTGATCCGCCCGCCTCGGCCTCCCAAAGTGCTGGGATTACAGGCGTGAGCCACCGCGCCCGGCCTTGATCTCCATTGTAATACACCTCCATCTATTTATGTAGAGATGTGTATGTACACAATTTTTAAAATCTGTTTTTGTTCGATATAACTTACTGTAAAATTCTGTCCTTGGTAGCCACCTTTTAATTACAGATTACAATTGTAAGCTCTTTGTGAGAAAATTTTTGTTTTTCGTTCCCAAATACTCTATGTAACACATTAGTGTAAATGATATTTATTGTCTAATTTATACCAGAGCATCTTTTTACTTAAACTGTTAATTGATAAGGCTGTCTGTACTGAGTAAAGATAAGATATTAAGTGGAAGTTGTCCTTGATATTATCTAGTTTAAAATATACATGGTAATACTCTATATTTTTTAGGATATATGTTGGCCAAAATTCTTTACTAGGTACCTGAAAACCAACTGAAGGTCAAAATAACCTTACTTGAAAGTGCTCTGTTATTTTTATCATGGTGTCTGCAGTATTCTCATAGTACTACTTCCTCTGGGGAGGTAAACTTACAGAAATGGAGAATGTATATAATATAAAAATAATCAAGTATTTATATACTACAATTAAGAGGTTTTTTCAATTTCAGAATGGTAAATCAGGGATATTTAATAATGTCAACTGTTTTGGTACTAGAGTTTAATACTCCAGAACTAGTCCTCACAGGTCTTCTTTGGATCATCAGCAATTTGGCAGTTTTTGTTTAGATCACATGGGTCTTTTAAAGTATAGAACTAGCTGTTCCCAACACAAAGAAAAGATAAATGTTTGAGGTGATGGATATTGCAATTACCCTGACTCGATCATTACACACTGTGTGCAGGTATCAAAATATCATCTCTACCCACAAACATGTACAACTAATATGTATCAATAGAAATTTTTAAATTAAAAATAAATTAATATATAAAAATAGATTACATATTAAAATCCAGAACTTTTCTCCAGAAGTTAGGAAATCTAGAAAGTGGGCCCACATACTTGCATGAAAATAGTTGAGTGGTATTGAATATCTGCTGTGTCTTTGAAGGTAGCCTGTGCTTTCAAATTTATCACTCCTACCATATGCCCATTTCACACTTGAATGTCATAATCTGGGCTATATTAAAGTTTGAGTTTTTGATTCCTAACCTAGAAGCAATTCAAGTCAAGGAATCAGATGTTATATGTAATTCCCTATAAAAATGAAATCTAAGTCCAGCACATTTAAATATATGGATAAATTTGGTGCTTGATTCTGTACTAAATGGTTAGGCCTATTCAATAAGGATATGAACGTGCGGATGTAGCACCTAAATGGCAAACAGTGACAATTTCGCACTTAGGTTTCAAGGTTCTGGAACCAGTCTTTTTTTTGGCTGCTATTTTTAACTGGTTGAGGATGTTTATGTGTTAAAGTAATTAAATACATTGTTGAGAAGAAAATCAGTTTGAGGAATTTTATTTTGGTCTTTCTGTCAGTGTTCTGACAGATGGCTAGGAACCAAATTTTTTGGATTGTCCTACAGAAGTACATGGCACCACTGTTCAAGCAACTGCTTTATGTTCGTAGTTCCAGGTGTTTTGGTCTTTAGGAACATGCACAGTATCTGAATTATTATACTTAGGGGAATTCTGTGCTCAAAAATTATATGGTAATTATACAGAAGTTGTTAGGTTATTCAGATATATTAATAATGAGTGTCCATGTTTGAGATTTGTTGTTGCTACATTTTTGTAGCTCTTTTTATTCTTTTTTTTTTTTATTTTACTTTAAGTTCTGCGATACATGAGCAGAACATGAAGGTCTGTTACCTAGGTATATATGTGTCATGGTAGTTTGCTGCACCTATCAACCTGTCATCTAGGTTTTAAGCCCTATATGCATCAGGTATTTGTCCTAATGCTCTCCCTCCCCTTTGTAGCTCTTTTTTTTCAGTAAGTAGTGTCTTGGTGCATTTAGGCAATGGTGAATATTTCAACCTTGAGTTTTATATAAATGTGACAACAAAAAGAAATATAAAAGTGTTTGAATTCTATCCACAAATATTAAATACATTTAAACAATAATAACAGAAACACTGCTTTTAAGATTAAGCAATTCTGTCATAATATCTACAGAAATATTAGCATTATAATGAAATTTTATGTTTTGCTGTTAATTGCACTGGCAATAAAAATATCCAAAGACTTTTTAAACATAAAACAAAAATGTCAAGATTAAAATATAATTTATCACAATTACTAAAATGGCAGGGTTCAAAATTCTATTTATAATTAAATTAAGAAATAATTAAGAAATAAATTCCCTTACATTTATATATTAAATCAATTTTTTCTAGTTAAAAAACCCGAAAAATTATAAATAACATTAAAGATGGAGAAAGAAAATGGTAGCATAAAATGTTCTAGCAGATCTTTCTAGATTACCATGCTGATTCATACTTTTAAAGTTCATTGTTATAATGTATCTTCAATATCACTTTTTAAATAAAGTTTAAAGGTAATGACTTCTCTAATTTAGAACTTACAGCAGAAGATCTGTGTTTTTTCAGATTTCTAGGTCTGCAGTTGGTTTATACTGATCTCTTAGTTGTAAGACCTACTATCTTACAGTTTTCACAAGAATCTTTCAAGTTAAATGGATATAATTGTACCACAAAGTGGAAAACTGAAAGAAGGAGAGGCTAAATGACTTGACCAGGTACTTATGATCAGAACTGGAATGGGAACATATTTTTCTTCCCGTTAGACAGGGTTTATGCTTTTAGAATTATCTTGTGCAACTAACAATTATGAAAGTGAAGTTGCAGAATGGTAATCATTTTTTGTGGGCATCAAATATTCTTGAACCAATTCATGTTTAAAATTTATGCCTTTGTTTAAAGATTCACATTCAGCTTGTTGTGTAATTAAGACCTTTCACAATCTGCTCTTGCCCATTCTCACTTCAATAGTAGCAGAAAAAACACTAGAGGAAAATAAATAGATACATTGTTTATCCACAATGAAATATACGTTTTAGGTTATAATTGTCCTATCAAGTCTAATCAGTGGCCACACAGTTGATTATGTAAAGAAATAATTTTATCTAACACTGGGTTTAATTGAAAGGAAGACATTTGTTTTACTCAGCAATAGAATCCAGTATTCCCTAGGACTACAATTTTACTCACTTAACTTCCTGGCAATAGTCTGGTTTGGTTAAAACCTTCTATAGTCAGAAGAGTAAAATGAAAGTACCCAGATACAAGAATCAAGAGGAACATTTTGATTTAACTTGTTATGCCCACATCTTATAATGAAACAATCTTCTGCAGGCATTCATGAGGCTATGAGGCTATGAGGGCAGAATAAACTCTTTTTCTAATATAAATACAGGCAGCATTGCCATATGAATGTAATAAATGGAAATCAGATTGTTCCCAGAAAATTAGTACCAAATGGTGGAAAACCCAACCTCTAATCTATTGCCAAACCACTGAAACACAGCAAAAAGCAAACAGCACAGTCAAGTAACGGAAATTTCTCAGTGTATCTAAGTGACTGTATAAAATAAGGATCCAATTTCTAAAACCATTGAAAAGATTTCCACAATTTCAGTGTGATGCAGAGGTATGTAATATAGGTACAATTGAAGGCTATTTCACTTGATAGAAAAGGAACCCATGATTGACCCAACTGTGTGGTATTTAGAAGATATGTAAGTATTCTGTTTAAAAACAAGTAAGAAAATATTTTATATACATGAAGTGTTATATATTCATATCAATTTTTATATGAGAAAGTGAGAAATAGGAGTGGTCTCCATTTATCATGCATATGAAGAATTGGTGAATTGGTTTTAAGTGAAAAGGGTCGGAAGCAAATATTAAAGGTATACTTTTTATTGTTAGGGATGTCTTAATTTTAATACTGAACAAAAAAGTAGTCTCATATTATTTTCTTTAGCTAGAACTCAATTACATAAGCTCACAGTGACCAAAGTTATATTGGGCATATTAACTAAACAATAAACAATGACAATAAAAAAGGACAAGCTTTTTTTTTTCACTCAAGCACACATCATGAGACCAGACCTTCTCTATGAATTCCAGATTTGTATATTCAGCCATCGAATAAGCATCTCCAATTGGCTGTCTAGTTGGCAGAAATAACGTAGGCAAAAGTGAAATATTGATTCTTTACCACTCACTACTCCTAAGTCATGTCTATTTCAGAAAATGGCATCACTTCCCACATGTTAAGGAGAAAACCTGAAGGGACATTCCTGCTCCTTTTGTGTGTGTGTGTGTGTACTGCCCCCAACCAATCCATTAGTAAATTTTGCAAGCTCTACTTTCAAAATGTGTCAAAAATCAAGCTCTGCTCATAACCTCCACAGGTAGAATTATAGGCCAATTTACCCTTCTCCTAGACTACTGAAATGTCTCCTTCTGGGATATCACTTTGGCCTCTTTAGAGTCCATGCTGCATATAGCAGCCAGATGATCCACAAATCCCATTTAAAACCTTCAAGTGACATATCATTGCATTAAAAAAAAATACCAATCCTTTGCCATTGCCTGTGAAGGCTTATCAAATCTAGACTCTGAGTTTCTCTTCAATGTCTTTTCCAATTATTTTGGCTTTCAGTCACTACACTGCAGCTGCAAAGTTCTTGTTATTGTTTTCAGCCTGTTGCATTTGCTAACATTTTATCATTCAGATTGCAATTCAAGTGCTACCTCCTTAGAAGGAGCTTGCTTCCCTGGTCACTTTCTCTAAACAAAATTCTCAATCATTCTCTTCTATTCTGCTCTATTTTGTTTTATTCATAGCATATATAAGATCTACATTTTTACATGTATTTATTGAAATATTTACGTGTTTATTACCAACCTCTCTTTCTTTCCCCCATGGATGTAAACCCTTTAACATCTGAAATACATAAACTGTAAAAACCAAAGAGCCTAGACGTATGGAAATATTAGATCTTCAGTACACATTTTATAATATTCCATAGCAGATCACAACTATATCAAATGTATACAATAGACAAGTGAGACAAAATGAAAATTAAAGTGATATGCATTGTAACATACGGTCTACTACTAAGAACAATTTCAAAATCCCAGTGATGAAGCAGTGGGACTAGGAAGACCAAAACCAAAACTAAAATGTACACCATAAAACCTTGAGGGAACTTTTTAGAAGTCTTGAATATTTTTATTCAAGGCTTCAACCTAAAATTATTTAGTTTGCAATTCAAAATCCATCAGTATGACCAATTCATGTTCATGTATATAACATATAAGTGACTGACAAACTTTCTAAGAAATAGCAACCTTCCCTTAGAGTGTCTCTGAGGAAAGTAGAAACATGCACGTATGTTCTCACCTAAACAGAGACTCTTTAAAATACAAAGGTGTCCATGTAGATCATTCTACTGCATTGGGCCTCACATTTTAAATTTATGATTTAACATAGAATAAGGATATCAACATCAATAAGACTGTAATATATTATTAGACGATTTGGTAGATTTGAATCATTGTCTTGTATTACGGAAATTCAACTTTAACTTTGGACCTCTTGTTAGAGAAGATGGCTTGTCATTTTTTAGTTATCTAGCCAAGTTTTGTTGTTGTTGTTGTTTGTTTGTTTGTTTTTGAGACAGGGTCTTACTCTGTGACCCAGGCTGGAATATAGTGGCATGATCACGGCTCATTGCAACCTTGACCTCCCAGGCTTACCATAGCCTCCACCTCCCCGGCTCAAGCAATCTTTCCACCTCAACCTCCCAAGTAGCTGAGACTACAGGCATGCACCATCATGCCCAGCTAATTTTTGTATTTTTGGTAGAAATGGGGCTTTGCCATGTTGCCTAGGCTGGTCTCCAACTCCTGGACTCAAGCTATCAGCCTACCTCTGCCTCCCAAAGTGCTATGACTATAGGCATGAGCCACCATGCCCAGCCTAATCAAATTTTATCAAGAATGTTTCTGTTGCTTGCCACATCTGGCTTCATCTTCTACTTCATCATAAACTGAAAATAAAATAATATCTATAATAGTGATTTACATTATTTTTATTTTCACTTTACTTTTAATTCCACAACTCCCAAAATTCCATTCCTACTTTTTTTCTTTCCCTTTCCCCAAAGAGACTATACTAAAGCTAAGATTAAATATGTCTTTTATTTGACTAGCAATTGCTTAGTGTGAACTATATTGTGTTAGACCAGCATATCCAGATATTTTAGAACATTATTGTGCTTATAAGTATATATTTGTGAACCAAATTATAGCATTAAATCATTTATAAAGAACTACACCTCAATTAGAGATTTTTGACAAAAGTGTCACCTTTCTGTGACTTGAAAAATTTGGCTTCCAATGGGATCAAGACCTGTCTTGGGCTGGTCAGTTGTGAAGAGTTTTCTGTGTTAGGGGCTCCTCTCACCACTAAAAACTCATCAGATGCTAAATTAATTGCATACACCATACCCACCTATGTTGTAATTCAATATGCATCACGGGATTCATAATTTACTTCAATGCTTCTTTAATGAATGTGTAGATCACTGCCTCTAATCCTTTGAATAAACTGATGAGAACTTACTCATTTTGGAGCACTCTAATCCTCAGTCCTCTGAGCTCAAAACAAACACATAAAACCCACAGAGTCCTATTTCCAGGGTTATAAACTCATTAAACATTTACTTTGCTAGCCATGGGGGCACTCTGTGAGGTACTTTGTGTTC
Source organism: Homo sapiens (assembly GCF_000001405.40). Taxonomy (NCBI): domain Eukaryota; kingdom Metazoa; phylum Chordata; class Mammalia; order Primates; family Hominidae; genus Homo; species Homo sapiens. The sequence continues at coordinate 188,573,555 of NC_000002.12, read as the reverse complement.
CTGCTGTGTGTCCTGTAAAACTGATGTTCAAATTTCATAAGAAAGAACAGATGTAAAACATTTCTAACTTAACAGAAATTTGCTTTATTGCAGACACATGGTAAGCTATTAAATATTTTAAATTCACATTTTATTATTTGCAATTTGCATTGTCTGTTTTTCAAATTCAATAATCTGAATCATTAATAAATCTTCAAAAATAATTGCAGGTAACTATTTTTGTTTTATTTTAATATCAGGAATTTGGGAGCTCATTTGAATAGATATGAGATAAATAAGCTGTACTTAAGTGTTCTACGAGTTTATTTCATAGCTACATTACTAAAATTTGAAATGAAAGGCAAAAATGTTTTTTAATAGGAAACACATTAGCAAATGCTGTAACAATGTTTTTTAAACCATTTGAATTGGTTAGATATCTCATTAATTTACATTTTACATTTTAGCATTTAATTTTACATTTAAATTTTAGCAATTTTAAAATGCTCTTGAGTTCACTTTCTTCTAAAAATCAAATAAATTCTATTTTCACATATTTGTTGTGAGAACAATTAAAACTACTCTTGGCAATTTTCAAGTATATAATACCTTGTTATTAACTATAATCACCATGTTGTACAAGAGATCTCTTGAACTTATTTCTCCTAATTAAAATGTTGCATCCTTTGATCATCTTCTAGACCCTTTCTCCACAACTCTGCCCCAGCCCCCAGCAACCACTAGTCTACTCTCTGCTTCTATGAGTTTGACTTTCTTGGATTCCACATATGAGTGACATCACGTGATATTTGTCTTTCTGTGCATGGCTTATTTCACTTAGTATAATGTCCTCCAGATTCTATCTTAATGAAGATGTATATCTTCCAGCATATCAACAATTTAAAAAATCATATGATAAGATTTTAAGAGCTAAAAAGCCATGTGACAAATAATTTTTAAAGTTAAAGAAAAAGTGTAGACAACAACATTACATGACAAAAGACTATAAGTAGATTGCAAAGTTATAATTTGTTATTTCCATAATGATCAAGGATACAATAAATTTTCTACATATATATGAACTCAGTGTAAGACCGTGATTTAAAGAAAGTGATTTGTTTTTAAATTCAACCTCTTAGTTGTAGTTTTTGAAGCATTTTATTTAGATAAATCCAGGCTGAGATGAACACAATGCCTAAAATAATTGTTAAATGATGTAACCTCAGGAGTGCTAATTCATTTTAAAACATAGCTATTTCATTATTTTTACTCTTTATATATAACTGGCTCTACTAATGAGAATTGCTAAATAAATGAATTATACTTATGAATAGGCTATGTTTCATTTATATACCAACTTGCATGCTTTCCACTTGAAATGGCTATTTCAGCCAAATGGTCAAAGACACTGAAGCAAGGGTCATCTTGTCATTCCTCCTGTCCTTTGTCATTTCTGAAGCTGACTCAGTAACCCTATGAGATCACCAATGCACATTAATAATCCTGACCCACCTTCTTCTCAGAGCAGTGTCTGCTTTGGGAAGATAAAAAAGGTAGGCTGCAGTTTTATTAATATGTTTGAAACCTCTTTGCTCCTCTCAAATGTTCTTCCTCAGATAAAGAGGTTACACAATGACCAGGTTTGGATTTGCATCCAAGAAGGTGATGGAGCTTATTTTACTCCTTTGTCAACACAAAAATGAAAGCAAAGCTACTCTTCATATGTGATGAATTCCAGAAACAACTACGTTATCAAAACTCCTTGAAAAAGTTACTTCCCTTCACATAAATGAAGTACATTTATTCTTATTCTCCTAGCATATTTCGCAACATGGCTTACAATATGAATTTCAACAAAACCCAAGAGGATGTGTGTTCCATCTTGGGATGGAAGGTTGAATAATGAGTTTGAACTGATGTTCTGTCCCTAGCAGCGAGAGAGGCAAGAAAAAAATCATAATCCTGGTGAGCAGCAGACAGTGACAAGAAAAAATAAGAAGGAATATCAGAATAAAACCAGAACCTGAAGAGGATGCTCCAGCATAGATACATTGGTACCTCAGTCCCAACCTCTCTCATCAAGGCCATAGGAGCCCTACTGGCACAAACCATCTGCCAAGCAATGGAAATACTCACTCTTTCAAATGGGAGGTGGAAAAATGTGAGTTTACAGGAAAAATCATTTTTTGACCCATTTCCAGAGTGTGCCAAGTTTGAAACCCTAAATGAAACTTCTATAGAAACATCCTTTTTCATAGTGATGAGCTTGTGAATGATTCTAGTATTAGATATTAAGAAATGAACATTTTCATTGAGTTTATCCTACGTATTGAAGCACAATAAGCTTCCATAAAAAATTTTGCAACAAATTTCTTTTTTCAGTTCATGTTTATGTTATAAGTTAGATATTAATTTTTTTTGAAACAGAGTCTTTCTCTGTCACCCAGGCTGCAGTGGAGTGGTGCTATCATGGATCACTGCAGCCATGACCTCTGGGCTCATGCCATCCTCTTACCTCAGCCTCCTCAGTGGCTGAGACTACAGGTGTGTGCCAATATGCCTGGATAATTTTTTGTATTTTTTGTAGAGACAAGGTTTCACCATGTTGCCAGACTGGTCTTGAACCCCTGGGCTCAAATGATCTGCCTGCCTTGGCCTCCCAAAATGTTGGGATTACAGATATAAGCCACTGTGCTTGGCATAGATATTAAATATTTTTAAATGAAGAATAATAAATACACTTTAATAAAGAATATCAGTAGTACAGATGATTCAAACAGAAAAATATCTTTTCCTGAATATATTTTGCCTAGAAAAAATATTGTTTTAAATTCCACCTCCCTCCAATAAATTCCCTTTGCCAAAATCATGTAATAATGATATCATACATGGTATTGGGAAAAGGATTTCAAAACTGTGACAAGTCAGACATAAATATTTTAACTACAAAGACTTGAGTTTTGTCTGCAGAGAATACCACTCATTTTAATGTTTGAAATACAATTGCCTCACTCCCAGCGGGAACCCTTACCATGTAATATAAGAAACCAGGTTCAGTCTTGCTCACAGTTGAATTCCTACAATGAAGTTGAGCACTTCAAGGGGAGACTGGCATAGGTCATTAAATCTAACCCAGCAAATAGTAATTAATAGAAACAAAAGAAGAATATGCCACAAAGAGAAAAATTATATTATGTAATAAAACTTAAGACTAACCTGAGGGTTGAATTATGTTAGAAAACCCAGAGGAAAACAGCAACATAGAAAACAACTCTGATTTGAACTGACTAGGTAATTTTAAGTTTTAAATTAAACTGCTTAGCAGCCTTCATCTCTATCCATGTTTACTTTGAAATTACTGATCCCCAAGTATTATATGAAATATTGCAGAACTAGTGATACACAGATGTTTTATCACCATAAAATCTTGTTTCTAAGGATATTCAATATACTCACTGGAGGTGCTGATACTTGAGTTATTCTCAGTTGGTTTTCCAAATCTTGTACTTTATTTTTAAGTTCCATATTTTCTGTTTCTAAGTCTTGGATCTAAAAAGAAAATCATTATTGAATAACTTTCTGTTTTTTTTTTCTTGGAAAATATTGGCTACAGTTATGAGTAGGAATTTATATTACGTAAAACTTTAATGTACTTTGTTGTGCGTGGGGAGAAAATTGTTTGATAAAGCTTGGGAAATGCTGGAGGATTCTAGATCATTGAAAGACTTAAATTTATAATATATTTTTATGTGTGTGCAAATTTTATGTTCCTAATATCTCAACATTGTGTTTTCTTGTTGGACTGTGCAATCTATACCCATAATCTTGGAATATAACCACAAGACAGTGAAACTTGCTTATGATGATTTTGAAGAGTGGAGAAAGGCATAATTTAATTACCAAGGAATCTGATCTGCATGGAAAACCACTTACCCAGCATCTGCTGCTTCTGCTGCTCTGATCCCCATGAGAAGCATCAGGAAGTGAAGCAAAGTCACATGAGAACACTAAGTTCTTGTGGGAATTCAATATAAAATAGTTAAAAAAAAAAAACTGTGCAGGGGATCAGGAACGAAAAATTATGGGAACACGGTGAAAGCAGTTCCAATCAGTCAGTGTGGGTGAAATTTAATGGCAGGGCTTCTAAATTTGTTTGACGATATGCAAGTTTCCCTGTACTTACATCACACAAATGTAAAACAACAAGCTTAGTTTACTCACTCTTTTTTGTAACCCTGCGATCTGTTTTCTTGTTTCAACATCTTTTCCTCCTGATTCTAGAAATTTCCTGTATGCCAGGTCAAATGCTTGGCCAATTGTTAAAGTGATCTCTTCAGCCTGTGTAAAAATCAAACAAAGATTTGCATTTTAATAATATGTCAAACTGTTTTTGAATCGAGAAAACAACATTCATATAAGCACTTACTCCAAGACATTCACAAGAGGTACTTCAAAAGGGCAACAGTTGGGAGTAGAGATGTATTAAATGAGCAAGGTAGTAGGCTAATGTAATAACTCAACACCTACCCAGGCACAACATTGAAAAAACAAGCGGACTTGGGGGTGGGTATTACTGAATAGCTGTTGAAGTGGGAAAGTTGGAAGCAAGAGTTCTTTATGTCAAACTTCTCATCTCTTTTATTGTATTGTTTTTTCCTACTTGTTTTTCTCCCTTTCTCAAATATTTAGTGCCTATGAAATGAAAGCAGAGTGCCAAATGTAGTTTCTCTCCTTGCTTTGCTATTTATTTCCTTTTCCTTGTGAGGAGGGTTTGTTAAACCCTAAGCAGGTAACTTGAATGAGGCTGGCCAGGTGGTGTCTCTGGAAAACTTGAGGTATGCCCTCTAAATGGAACACCTGCTACTCTGTCCCAGTTAATTGTTGCCTGGTGGAAGTGAGCAATTCCAATCTGAAACTGTCAGATCTTATGTATGAAAGATGAGGCCAGAAGTCTGAAATTTTATATGAGAGCTCCCAATTTTAAGCGATGGTAAACAGTTTGTATTTTGGTAAAACACAGTGCCAGTGATCAAAATATATATGTCATCTGAATTTGGGCTTGTAAACAACTTACAATCTCAGATCTATTGATTTGAAACTGCCACAAATATATCTTACATCCACAAGCTCATTTCTTCTCCATTCATATCTCCACTGAATTCATAATGTCTTGCACATAGTAAAGACTAAAGATTTATTTACTTAATCAACATTATAAAGAATTTTGGTAAAGGCATCAATAAGATTTAATGTTGTCACAATTATGTCATATTTAGTAAGACCTCCAGATAACAAGAAGACTAGTAGTAATATATATTGAAAATGCTATGCTTTAACTCTACTACAAATTCTAATAATTTATTATCTACTGTGATCAACATAAAATGAAAACATGCTTTGTTAATCATCTTATATCATTTAATAGAATTTTTATAGTTCATTATTTAAGGAGGGTTTTAGACAAAAATATAGTATTTAACCTAGTTAACTAAAAAATGCAAAATATGTACATAATATTTTAAAGGAAGACTGTTTTACAAAAGAAAAGAAAAAAGACAAGAAAGTAAACAACGAGCTATAATAAAAACTACCAAATAAATGAAAATGACAGATACCAATGTATGCATGTTCATTGACTTAAACTAATTGGTTGTGTTAGATATTAAGATTATTTGTAATATTAAAGAAGTGGTTTTGATAGATTGTGGGATTATGAATAATTTGTTTTCTGTTTCTCATTTCAAAACTTTGGGTAATAGGTTTCTGTTTATTTTACAATAAAAAGACGTTTTTCTTCTTCTTTTTAAAAATTTCTTCCAAAACAAAATGGGATACATGTGCAGAATGTGCAGGTTAGTTATACAGTATACGTGTGCCATGGTGGTTTGCTGCACCTATTGACCCATCCTCTAAGTTCCCTCCCCTCGCCTCCCACCCCCTAATGGGTCCTGGTGTGTGTTGTTCCCCTCTCTGTGTCCATGTGTTCTCATTGTTCAACTCCCACTTCTGGGTGAGAACATGTGGTGTTTGGTTTTCTGTTCCTGTGTTAGTTTGCTAAGGATGATAGCTTCCAGCTTCATCCATGTCCCTGCAAAGGACATTATCTCATTCCTTTTTATGGCTGCAGAGTATTCCATGGGATATGGGATATATGTACCACCTTTTCTTTATCCAATCTATCATTGATGGGCATTTGGGTTGGTTCCAAGTCTTTGCTATTGGAAATAGTGCTGCAATAAACATACGCGTGCATTTGTCTTTATAGTAGCATGATTTGTATTCCTTTGGGTATATACCCAGTAATGAGATCTCTGGGTCAAATGGTAGTTCTAGTTCTAGATCCTTGAGGAATCGCCACACTGTCTTCCACAATAACTGAACTAATTTACATCCCCACCAACAGTGTAAAAACATTTATATTTCTCCACAGCCTTGCCAGCATCTATTTTTTCCTGACTTTTTAATAATCACCCTTCTGACTGGTGTGAGATGGTACCTCATTGTGGTTTTGATTTGCATTTCTCTGATGATCAGTGATGTTGAGTTTTTTTTTCATATGCTTCTTGGCTGCATAAATGTCTTCTTTTGAGAAGTGTCTCTTCATATCCTTTGCCCGCTTTGTGATGGGGTTGTTTTTTTCTTATAAATAAGTTTAAGTTCCTTGCAAATTCTGGATATTAGACCTTTGTCAGATGGTTGGATTTTTAATTATAGGTTGCTTCCCTTCTAAATTATGATTTCGATGTATCCTTCCCCTTTTTTTTTTTTTTTTTTTTTTTTTTGAGATGGAGTCTCACTCAGCTACCCAGGCTGGAGTGCAGTGGCGCAATCTCAGCTCACTGCAACCTCCACTCCCGAGTTCAAGAGATTCTCCTGTCTCAGCTTCCTGAGTAGCTGGGACTACAGGCACGCACCACCACACCCAGCTAATTTTTTTTATTTTTATAGAGACTGGGTTTCACCACGTTAGCCAGGCTGGTCTTGAACTCCTGACCACAGGTGATCCACCCGCCTTGGCCTCCCAAAGTGTCGATGTATCCTTTTAACGAGACATTATGTTATCTTTAAATACTCAATTTGTACATTATAAAGAATCATTTAAATGGTAACATTATTAATTATTCATTAATGACATTTGGCCTCATATTATTTATTTATATTAATAACTTTAAAAAACCATGTTCTCATTTTATAATAACATCTTTACTAGGCACTTAGCTGTCTAGTAAATATTCTGCATATATTATCTTACTTGATTCTCATCATGGCTCTGAAGTAAGGATTATTATTACCCCACAATACATATGATGAAACTGCAATTTTGTAAAGTTGTATAACTTGCCTAAAGCTAGTGAATGGAGAAACTGAATTTAAATCCAGATTTCTGACTCTCCAACCATCACATTTTTGGAGGTGGGGGGTAAAATTTATATACAATGAAATGCACAGATCATGATAAATTTATGAATCATATAAGATATATAATCTCCAACTTATTAAAAATAAAGAATATTTCTAGCCCACCAGAATGTCTCTTATGCCTACTTTCAGTCAAATCTCATCTATTATGGGTGACGATTCTTCAATTTTTATCATTATAAATCAGTTTTGCCTGTCCTTGATATCTATAAAAATAGACTAATATGTATTATTTTGTGTCTGTATTCTTCTACTAAATTAAAGTTTCTGAGTTTCATACGTGTTGTACTTATCAATAACACATTGGTTTTGTTGCTGATTAGCATTTCATGTTACAAATATACCACAAGTGATTTATCCATTGTACTATGGATGGACATTCATGGTTTTGTCAGTTCTTAGTTATTAGACATGAAACTACCACAAACATTCTTCTAAGATCTTTTTGTAGACATATGTTTTCTTGTCTCTTGGTAAATATCTAGAATGTAACTGTTAAATCATGGGAGGTTTAACATTATAAGAAACTGTGCAACTGTTTTCCAAAGTAATAATATAATTTTGCATTTCCACCAGCAGTTAAGAGAGTTCTCATTATGTCACATTCTCAGAAACAAGATATTGACAGTCTTTTTCATTTGAGACAATATATTGGATGAGTGATGCTATAGTAATGTGTTTTAAATTTATATTTCCCTGTTGAATAATAATATTGCTCAGTTTCGTGTGTTCATTGCCTCTTTTATGTTCTCTTTAATAAACTAACTCCCTGTAGAAGTCTACTGCCCACTTTTATTAGGTGTTTTGTCTTTTTATTTGTGATTTTTAGGAGTTTTTTATATAGTCTGGATACAGATCCTTTTTCAGATACACGTATTGGGAATATAGCCACTTGCTTTTTCAGTTTGCTGATAGTGTTTATAGATTAACAGAAAATGTTTTATTTTTGATAAAGTCCATTGTATCCTTTTTTTGTTCATGTGTAGTGCTTTTGGGGTCATTTCCAGGAAATCACTATCCATCCAAAGTTCATAATGACATTCTATGTTTTTTAATGAAAGTTACGTATAAGATTACAAAAGCTTCTACTTTTATGTCTATGATCCACCTCAAATAGTTTTATGTAGCGTAAGTAGGAGATAATTTTCATAATTTTTTCCCATATATTTAGCTAGTTATTTCAAAACCATTTGTCAAAAAGACTTTCTTTTTTCCATTGAATTTTTTGTCACATTTGTGGGAAAAAAAATTAACCATGTATGTATGGATATTTCTAAACTCTACAATACAGTTCATTTATTATTATTACATTAATATCACCCTGACTTGATAAGAGTTTAAGGTAAGTTCTGACATCAGGTATGCTTGCCCAGATTTTGGTCTTCTCTCTCAAAATTAATTTGTTTTTGTTCTAGGTAATTTACATTACCTTATTAGAAATAACTTTTCAGTTTTTACTAACAATCCCATTGTGATTTTAATCAGAATTGTATTGAATCCATGGATCGATCAATTTGGTAGAATTAACCACAATTAAACTGAGCCTTCCAATCTATAAACATGGTATCTTTCTCCCATTATTTTAGGTCTTTTTTACTTACATCAATACTTTGAAGATTTCAGTATAGAGGGCTTGCATATTTTTAAAATTCTCATTATTTCATGTTTCCTGATGCTACGGTAAATACATTTTTCTTTCTTTCTTTTTGCTAGTAGACAGACACAATTTAATTTTGTACATTGATTTGTAAGCTTTGTTTTTGCTAAATTTGTTTCATAAATCTAGTGGTTGTAGATCTCAGCAATTTTTATGTAAAAAAGTTGATATTATATATGTGAAAAAAGACAATTTTTTCCTATTTCTTTCCAATCCTTGTGCCCTTCCTCTCCATCTATTCACTAGCTAAGGCACCTAATACCACGTTAAATAGGTAGTAAGAATGGACATCCTTGCATTGTTCCCAGTCTTAGAAGGAAAGCATTCAATAATTTACCATTAATTATGATGTTACCTGTAGAACTTTTAAAGTTTTTATCAGAAAAACAATGTCTCTTCTATTCCTAGCATGCTATAAATTTTATCAGCAATGGGTTAAATTTTGTCTAGTGGCTTTTCTGTACTTGCTGAAACTACTGTGTTATTATTCTGTTAAGATGTTGTATTACGTTGATTGATTTTTCTTATGTTAAACCAAACTTGAATTCCTGGGATAAACCTCACCTGGTAATAATGTACTATCTATTTTATATATTGCTGGACTCGATTTGGAATTATTTTGCAAAAGAGTGTTAAGTCTATGTCATAAGAAACACTGGAACATAATTTTCATTTTTTGTAAGGTCTTTGTCATGTTTTCAATCAGGGTAACACAGTCTTCATAAAATGATTTGGAACTGTAACTTTATTCTCTTAATTCTGAAAAGGTTTATGTATAATTGGTATTTTAAAAAGAAATGTTTTACAGATTTTAATAGTGAAACTATCTGAGCTTGGTATTTCACTTGTCAAAAAGTTTTGTCAAATATTTGGGCCAAATATTTAATTCCAAATATGTGGGCCAAATATTTAGTTCCGAATCTTTTTTAAAAATATAAAAAAAAGATAAAAAAAATATAATTTTTTAAAAATATAAATATAAATTACATTTATAAATTAATTTATATTAAATATTTGTATGTAATTTTATATATTCAGATTTTCTACTTCTTTTCTGTCAATTTGGTAAATTGAGTTTCAAGATATTTATCAATTTATATTATTTACCAAATTTACTGGTATAATAGTTATATAATATTTATCTTTGTATCCTTTTAAAGAATATAGGATCTGCAGCTACATCCACTATTTCTAGTATTGGCAATTTGTGTTTTCTGTCACTTTTGTCCTTGATGAAGTTTTTAGAGATTGCTAATTTCATTCTTAATGAAGCACCAATATTTGGCCTTGTTAATTTTCTTTATTGTTTGTCCAATTTCAATGTCATTGATTCTACTGTAGTGTTTCTTAACCTTCCACTTTAATTTTGATTTGTTTTTCTTGTTTTCATTTAACTTTATGTCAGGACTAAAATGATTAATTTTAACTTTTCTATCTTTTCTTACATAAAGATTGAAAGCTATGAATTTGCCTCTCAGCAGCTTTACAAATTTTGATACATTGTATTTTACTGTTCTTCAGTTAAAGAATAATTTAATTCCCCTGTAACTTTTCTTTTAGCTATAGTTATATAAAGGGTGTTTTAATTCTAAATATTTGTACAAAATATTTAACTCTAAATATGTGGGCCAAATATTTAGTTCCATATATTTGTAGTTAGACAATATATGCTGTGATATTTTCAGTTTTGAAACTTATTGAGTCTCCCATTATGGCCCAGCATATAGTATACCTCTGTAAACATTCCATGTGCATTCAAAAGGAAAGTATACTCTGTTGCTTGGGATAGCATTCTATTCACGTCTATTAAAGTGGTGGATGATATTGGGTTTTGGGGGTTTTTTTTGGTACTTTTATTGACTTTTTTTCTACTTGTTCTGTCAATTGCTGAGAAAACTATTAAAATGTACAACTATAATTGTAGATTTGCCTTTTTGCCAAATAAAACTGTTAGATTTTGTTTCATTTTTTAATAAATTAATGTCATTTCATAAATACATCTTGGCACTTTAATCACATTTTGAATATATAATCCAAGAGCAAAGACCAGAATTCAACAGAAAAGTGACAGGAAACACCAAAAGCAAGGAAGGAAGAAGACAGGCAGCCTGTTTGGTTGAGATCAGCTGGGAGCCAGGAGTGACTTTCCATACATGGGAAAAGGGTGAGTGAGAGACTTCCAGCAGCCCTCATCTGCATCATGGAATCATGCAACCCTGGTCAAGGGACAGCCCCTCAATGCTCCCAACTCCTGAAACTAAAATATGGAGCTGTTCGTAGACCATGTGATAGAACTGCTCCCAGGAGGGAGCTTGCACTAGGTCCCACATCATTTCTGAGACCCAAGCAGCTACAGCAAGATGCCAGTTTGAATCCTAGCCTTGAGCAGATTGCACACTGTCCTGGGGCCCAGAAGTGCTGAGGCTGAGGCATTAGGGAAACTTGGGCTGTTGCTGCTGGGACTAGGACATGACCTGGGAATAAGCTCCCACGGGTGGGGCTGAGAAACAAGCAAGGCATTGGCTGTAGCTGCCGGGTAGAATACAAGTGCCACTGAGACTGAGAATGGGATGTGACTGGGTGCAAGTTGCCACTGAAACTTAGTCACAAGCTGAGTAGGGGCTCCTGTAGCGGGGGCTGAGGTACAACCTAGGCAAGGACTACCACTGCCAGGGCTGAAGGCAAGTGCAACAGGACTGGGCCATGAGAATGATGTGCATTCCCCACTCCCCAGCCCAAGATGTGGCTACCAAGGCCAACGCCAACCTCTGCAATGCTGGGGCCTCAGCGTGGCTACTACTGCCCCTCACTCATGCATTCTGCCAGGGACCTGAGAATTGCCCTGCCCCTGCCCACTACAGCTAGTGACTACTGTCACCACTGGGAGATCTGAGCACAAGCCTGCCCAGCACAGACCCCAGGACTTAGCCCAGGATCATGTGGATTACCCAACCCAATCCACCACATTGGGCACTTGAGTGCACCTCCCAGAGGCATGAGGTTGGCCCTAAACTCTAAACTCCTGGCTGCTATTACCTTAACTGGCACCTGAGGGCCTGAAGACTGGCTCACCCAGCCCATCATAGCCACTGCCCACATCAACATACAGTACCTGGGATGCAGATAATTTTCCTGTCACTGATACTACCATAACCCATACCACAGTGCCTGCTTAGGGGACCAAGAACTTGTCCACCTGCTCAGTCCACTGTGCCCATGACTGGCATCCAAGCAAGCCAACTAGAAGCCCAAGAATTGGTCCACTGGTAACCACCAATACCACTGCCAGCATATATCAGCCTAGGGAATAAAGATAGGCATGATCAGCCCACTGTTGCCACGACTGGGGCTTAAACAGTGACATGCTTAACGTCCCAGTCCCCAGCACAAATCCACCACAACCTCCCCTAATATCTGCAAACTAACCCTCCAAGGAAATGGCAGATCTCACTAATGCTGTTTATAGCTGATATGGTTTGGACCTGTGTCCCCATAAAATCTCATATTAAATTGTAATCTCCAGTATTAGAGGTGGGACCTGGTGGGAGGTGATTGGATCATGGGGGTGAATTTCTCATAAATGGTTTAGCACCATCTGTTTGGTGCTGTTCTCATAATAGTGAGTAGGTTCTCAAATTAGTGAGTAGGTTCTCATGAGATCTGGTCACTTAAAAGTATGGAGCACCTCCTCATTACCCTCCATCCTGCTCCTGCCATGTAAGCCATGGCTGCACCTGCTTTGCCTTCTGTCATGATTGTGTTTCTTGAGGTATCAGCAGAAGCAGTGTAGAGGCCAGCATCATGCTTCCTGTACAGCCTGTAGAATTGTGAACCAATTAAACTTCTCTCTTTATAAATTACCCAGTCTTAGGTATATCTTTATAGCAATGTGAGAACATACTAATACAGAAAACTGGTACTGAGGACTGGGGCATTGCTATAAAACTATCTGAAAATGTGGAAGTGACTTTGGAACTGGGTAACAGGCAGAGGTTGGAAGACTTTAAAGGGCTCAGAAGATGGGAAAATGAGGGAAAGTTTGGAATTTGCTAGAGACTGGTTAAATGGTTATGACCAAAATGCCAATAGTGATGTAGACAGTGAAGTCCAATGTGAGGAGGTCTGAGATATAAATGATGAACTTATTGGGAACTGGAGGAAGGTCACTTTTATTATGCCTTAGCAAATAACTTAGCTGCATTGTGCCCCTGCCCTAGGTGGAACTTTGAACTTGAGAATGATGATTTAGGGTATCTGGAGGAAGAAATTTCTAAGCAACAAAGCATTCAAGGTTTCATCTGGCTGCTTCTAACAAGCTATACTCATATGCATAAGCAAAGAAATTACCTAAGGTTGGAACTTACATTTAAAGGGAAAGTACAGCATAAAAGTTTAGAAAATTTGCAGCCTCACTGTATTAGTCCACTTTCACGCTGCTGATAAAGACATACCCAAGACTGGGAAGAAAAAGAGGTTTAATACGACTTACAGTTCAACATGGCTGGGGAGGCCTCAGAATCACGGCAGGAAGCAAAAGGCACTTCTTACGTGGCAGTGACCAGACAAAATGAGGAAGATGCAAAAGTGAAAACCCCTGATAAAACTATCAGATCTCATGAGACTTATTCACTACCATGAGAACAGCATGTGGGAAACCGCCCTGATGATTTAAATTATCTCCACCAGGTCCCTTCCACAAAATGTGGCAATTATGGGAGCTGCAATTCAAGATGAGATTTGGGTGGGGACACAGAGCCAAACCATATCATTCCACCCCTGGCCTCTCCAAATCTCATGTCCTCACATTTCAAAGCCAATCATGCCTTTCCAACAGTCCCCCAAAGCCTTAACTCAGTTAAGCATTAACCCAAAAGTCCACAGTTCAAAGTCTCATCTGAGACAAGGCTAGTCTCTTCTGCCTATGAGCCTGTAAAATCAAAAGCAAGTGGGCCTCTTCTCACAGCTCCCCTAGGCAGTGCCCCAGTGGGGACTCTGTATGGGGGCTCTGACCCCACATTTCCCTTCCGCACTGCCCTAGCAGAGGTTCTCCATGAGTGCCCCACCCCTGCGGCATAGTTCTGCCTGGGCATCCAGGAGTTTCCATACATCTTCTGAAATCTAGGTAGAGGTTCTCAAACCCCAATTATTGACTTCTGTGGAGGTCCAAAACGACGTGGATGCTGCCAAGGCTTGGGGCTTGCACTCTCTGAAACCATAGCCTGAGCTCTACCCTGGCCCATTTTAGCCATGGCTGGAGTAACTGGGATGCAGGGCACCAACTCCCTAGGGTACACACAGCACAGGGACCCTGGGCCAGGCCCAGAAAACCATTTTCTCCTAGGCCTCGGGGCCTGTGATGGGAGGGACTGCTGTGAAGACCTCTGACATGCCCTGGAGACATTTTCCCCATTGTCTTGGGGATTAACATTCGGCTCCTCATTACCTATGCAAATTTCTGTAGCTGCTCTTGAATTTCTCCTCAAAAAATGGGTTTTTCTTTTCTATCACATTGTCAGGCTGCACATTTTCTGAACTTTTATGCTCTGCTTCCCTTATAAAACTGAATGCCTTTAACAGCACCCAAGTCACTTCTTGAATGCTTTGGTGCTTAGAAATTTCTTCTGCCAGATACCCTAAATTATCTCTCTCAAGTTCAAACTTCCACAAATCTCTAGTGCAGGAGCAAAATGCTGCCAGTCTCTTTGTTAAAACATAACAAGAGTTACCTCTGCTTCAGTTCCCAATAAGTTCCTCATCTCCATCTGAGACCACCTCAACCTGGACCTTATTGTCCATATCACATTCAGGCTTTTGGTCAAAGCCATTCAACAAGTCTCCAGGAAGTCCTAAACTTTCCCACATTTCCCTGTCTTCTTCTGAGCCCTCCAAACTGTTCCACCCTCTGCCTGTTACCCAGTTCCAAAGCCACTTCCACATTTTTGGGTATGTTTTCAGCAACACCGCACTCTACTGGTACCAATTTACACTATTAGTCTGTTTTCATGCTGCTGATAAAGACATACCTGAGACTGGGAAGAAAAAGAGGTTTAATTGGACTTACAGTTCCCCATGGCTGTGGAGGCCTCAGAATCATGGCAGGAGGCGAAAAGCACTTCTTACGTGGCAGTGGCAAGAGAAAATGAGAAAGATGCAAAAGCGGAAACCCCTGATAAAACCATCAGATCTCATGAGACTTATTCACTACCATGAGAATAGTATGGGGGAAACTGCCCCCATGATTCAAATGATCTCCCACTGGGTTCCGTCCACAACATATGGGTATTATGGGAGTACAATTCAAGATGAGATTTAGGTGGGGACACAGAGCCAAACCGTATCACTGGCCATGTGGTAGAAAAGAGGAGCCCATTTTCAGGGGAGGAATTCAAGCAGGCTGCAGAAATTTTCACAAGTGAAAAGGAGCCAAGCACTAACAGCCAAGACAATGGGGGAAAGGCCCTGAAGTAATTTCAGAGACCTTTGCAGCATACCCTCCCATTGCAGGCTTCCTAGGAGGGAAGAATGGTTTCATGGGCCAGGCCCATGGCCCCACTGCCCTGAACAGCTTCACAACACTACTCCCTGCTTCCCAGCCACACCATTTCCAACTATGGCTCAAAGAGGCCCAGGTACAGCACAGGTCACTGCTTCAGAGGGTGCAAGTCATAAGCTTTGGCAGTTTCCACATGGTGTTAAGCCTGCAGATACACAGAATGTAAGAAGCGAGCCTTGCTGCAAGATTGGAGCCCTCATTAGACACCCCACACAGACTCCCCATTGGGGGACTGCCTAGTGAAGCTGTGAGAAAAGGGCCACCATTTTCCAGACCCCAGAATGGTGGATCCACTGAGAGTTTGCACCCTGTGCCTGAAAAGCCACAAGCACTTAACGCCAGCACGTGAGAGTAGCCATTAGGGCTGAACCTTAATGGCAAAGCCACAGGGGCAGAGTTGCCCAAGACCTTGGGAGCCCACCTCTCAAACCAGTGTGCCCTGGATATGGGACATGGAGTCAAAGAAGATTCTTTTGGAGCTTTAAAATGTAATGACTGCCCTGCTGGATTTTGGGATTGTGTGAGGCCTGTATCTCCTTTCTTTTGGCCAATTTCTCCCTTTTGGAATGGGAATGTTTACCCAGTACTTGTACTCCCATTGTATGTTGGAATTAATTAACTTGCTTTGGATTTTGCAGTCTCATAAGTGAAAGGGACTTCCCTTGTCTCAGATGAGATTTTGGACTTTGGACTTTGGGGTTAATGCCAAAACAAGTTAAGACTTTGGGGACTGCTGGAAAGGTATGATTGTATTTTGCAATGTGAAAAGGATATGAGATTTGGGGGACCAGAGGCAGAAAGATATGTTTTGGATCTGTGTTCCTATCAAATCGCATGTCAAACTGTAATCTCCAATGTTGGAGATGGAGCCTGGTGGTAGGTGATTGGAACATGGTGGTAGATTTCTTTTCTTTTTTTTTTTTTGAGACAGAGTCTTGCTCTGTCACCCAGGCTGGAGTGCAGTGGCACGATCTAGGCTCACTGCAAGCTCCGCCTCCCAGGTTCACACCATTCTCCTGCCTCAGCCTCCTGAGTAGCTGGGACTACAGGCACCCGCCACCACACATGGCTAATTTTTTGTCTTTTTTAGTAGAGACGGGGTTTCACCGTGGTCTCGATCTCCTGACCTCGTGATCCACCCGCCTCGGCCTCCCAAAGTGCTGGGATTACAGGCGTGAGCCACCGTGCCCAGCAACGTGGTAGTAGATTTCTAATGAGTGGTTTAGCAACATCCTCCCCACAAAAAGTAAATTCAAAAACAGGAAGAAGTGACTTTTATACAAATGTGCAGATATCAACATAAGGACACAGGAAACAAAAAAATCAAACAAATATGACACCTTGAAAGAAACATAATAATTCTCCAGTAAATTAAGATCTCCAGTAGATCTTAATAAAAAAGAAATTCCCAAAATCCCAGATAAAGAATTGAAGATACTGATTTGAAAGAAGCTCAGTGAAATACAAAAGAAATCTGAAAAACAATAAAAAGAAATCAGAAAAACAAATCAGTATATGAATGAGAAAAATACTGAAGAGATAGATATGTTTTAGAAGAACGAAAGAGAAATTCTAGAACTTAAGGACTCATTGAGGAGTAACATAATGATATCTTCGATAATAGACTAGATCAAGTGGAAGAAAAAAATATCTCAAATCTTTAAAGACAGATCTTTTGAAATAATTCAGTCGGACAAATATAAAGATAAAAATAGTAGAAAAGAATGAGGAAAGCCTTCACGACATTTATGACACCTTAAAATTACTGAAAATTCAAATTATCAGTGTTCCCAAGGGTGAAGAAAGCATAAAAGGATTAGAAAACCCATTTCATGAAATAGTCAATGAAAACCTTCTTTTTTTTTCTTTTTCTTTTTCTTTTTTTTTTTTGAGACAGAGTCTCACTCTGTCACCCAGGATGGGCTGCAGTGGTGCAATCTTAGCTCACTGCAACCTCTGTCTCCCGGGTTCAAGCAATTCTTCTGCCTCAGCCTCCCAAGTAGCTGGGATTACAGGTGTGTGCCACCATGCCTGGCTAATTTTTGATTTTCAGTAGAGATGGGGTTTCATCATATTGGCCAGGCTGGTCTCAAACTCCTGACCTCATTATCCACCTTTCCTGGCCTTCCAAAGTGCTGAGATTACAGGTATAAGCCACCACACCCAGCCTAGATGAAAACTCTCTAAGTCTAGCAGGAGATATAAATATCCACTTACTGAAAGATCAATGATCCCTAAGCAGATACAAAACGAAAAGGCAGTCACCATCGCACATTATACTCAGACTATCTAAAGTCAAAGATAAAGAATTATAAAAACAGCAAGAGGAAAGCGTCTAGTCACCTGTAAAGGAAATTGTATCAGCCTAACAATGAATTTCTCAGCAAAAGCATTTACAGACTAGAAGAGAATGGGCTAAAATATTCAAAGTGCTAAAAGAAAAAAAGAAGAACATGATATCCAGTAATATTCTCCTTTCTAAATGAAGAAGAAATAAAGTCTTTCTCAGACAAGTAAATACTGAGGGAATTTGTTACCACTAGACTGGTCTTATATGAATTGTTCAAGGAAGTCTTAAACCTGGAAACAAATGGACAAGATTTACTATCAGGAAAACACAAGAAAGTATAAAACTCATTGGTAAAGAAATAACACAAGGGAAAAAGATAAAAGACTCAAAGTGTACCACTACAGACATCTACCAAAACAACAAAGATGAACAATAACAGAAGAAAGTCATATATAAAACAACCAGAAAACAATTAACAATATGACAGGAACAAAGCCTTACCTAGCAATAATAACACTGACTGTAAATGGATTAAGTTTTCTACATAAATATATAGTATGAATGAATTGATTTTTTAAATGATCCAAATATATGCTCCCTTCTAGAAACTCACCTTACCAGTATAGGCACATATAGACTAAAAGTAAAGAGACAGAAAAAGATATTCTACACAGATGAAAACCAAAAGCAAGCAGAAATAGCTGTACTTAGATAAAATAGGCTTTAAGCCAAAAACAGTTCTAAAAAGATGGAAAAGGTCATTATATAATGATAAAGGAATATATCCAGTGAGACGATATAACAATTTTAAAAAATCTAAGTATATATGCACCCAATATTGGAGCACAAAGATCCATAAAGTAAATATTTCTAGATCTAAAGAGATAGACTGCAATACAATAATAGTGGGGGAGCCCAAAACCCCATTGTCAGTACTAGATAGATCATCTAGACAGATAACAAAAACCTCCAAATTTAAACTGTACTACAGACCAAATTGACCTAATACACATTTATAGAATATTCTATCCAAAAACTGCAGAAGATACATTCTTTTCATTAGCACATAGAACATTCCCCAGTATAGCCCATATATTAGGCCACAAAACAAGTCTCAACAAATTAGAAAAAAAAAAAAGATAATAATTTCTACTATCCCCTCAGACCACAATGGAATAAAAATAAATCAATACTAATAAGAACTTTGGAAAATATACAAATACATGAAAATTAAACAACATGCTCCTGAATGACCTTTGGGTTGACAAAGAAATTAAGATGGAAATAAAAAAAAATTCTTGAAACAAATGGAAACATAAACTAAAACCTGTGAGACACAGTAAAAGCAGTGCTAAGAGGAACGTTTATAGCAATAAATTCCTGTATCAAAAAATTCCTGTAGAAAGATAACATGTTAACAACTTAACAATATACCTTAAGGAACTAGGAAAGTAAGAACAAACCAACCCAAAATTAACATTATAAAATAAATAAAAAAGATCAGAGCAGAACTAAATGAAATAGAGACTAAAAAAATACACAAGATCAAACAAACAAAAAATTGGTTCTTTGAAATAAGTAAAATTGAGAAATCATTAAGTAGACTAACCAAGAAGAGAGAATATCTAAATAAACTAAATCAGAATGAAAAAGGAAATGTAACAACTGATCACAGAAATACAAAGATCCCCAAAGACTATTATAAAAACTATATGCTGACAAACTGAACAATCTGAACAATCTAGAGTAAATGGGTAAGTTTCTGGAAACATGCAACCTAACAAAAGTGAATCAGGAAGAAATAGAAAACCTGGCAGGCCAATATGAGTAGCAATATTGAATCAGTAATAAAAACTGTCTCAACAAAGAAAAGCTCGGGACTAGATGGATTCACAATAAAATTCTACCAAATATGCAAATAACTAATACCAATCCTGAAACTATTCCAAAACATTGAAGAACAGGGTTCTTCTTAACTCATTCTATAAGGCCAAGATCACCTTGATAACAAAACCAGATAAGGATACAACAACAACAAAAACAAAACTACTGGTCAATATTCCTGATGAACATAGACACAAAATGCTCCACAAAATGCTAGTTAACTCAACAGCACACAAAAATATAATACACCATGATTGAGTGGGATTTATACCAGAGATGCGTGGATGGTTCAACATATACAAATCAGTAAAGGTGGTAACTCAAATTAATGGAATGAAGGACAAAAAATAATCATCTCAATAGACACAGAAAAAGAATTTGATAAAGTTCAACATTCCTTCATGATAACAATCTCTCAACAAACCAGGCACAGAAGAAACATACCATAAAATAACAAATCCACACTTAATGTCACACTGAAGGAAGAAATGTTGAAAGCCTTTCCTCTACGAACTGGAACAAGACAAGAATGCCCACCTTCATCACTCCTATTCAACACGGTACTGGAAGTCCACCCAGGGCAATCAAACAAGAAAGAAATAAAAGCATCCAAATTGGAAAACAGGAAGTCAAATTATCCCTCTTTGCTGATATGATCTTATATCTAGAAAAACCTAATTGCTCCATAAAAAAACTCTTAGATTTGATAAATGAATTTAGTAAGATGGAGGATTCAAAATTAATGTACAAAAATCAGGAGCATTTCTGTATACCAATGATGTAGCTGAGAAGGAAAGCAAGAAGGCAATCTCATTTACAATAGCGCAATAAGTATACACATGCATATATATACGTATATATATAGAGAGAGATAAACACATATATGTATATACATATATAGGAATAAATATATATATATATGAATAAATTTAACCAAGGAGGTAAAAGTTCTCTATAAGGAGAGAACTATTTATTGACTGATAAAAGAAATAGTCAATGACACAAACAAATAGAAAAATATCCTATATTCATGGATCATAAGAAATAATATCATTTAAATGACTACCATCCAAAGCAACCTGTAGATTCAATGCAATGCCTATCAAAATACTGACATCATTCATCACAGAATAAGAAACGGCAAACTTAAAGCAATTCTGAGCAAAAAGAGCCAAGCTGGAGGCATCACATTACCCGACTTCAAAATATACAAGGTAACAGTAACCAAAGCAGTATGGTATTGGTATAAAAACAGACACACAGAATAATGGAATAGAATAAAGAACTCAGAAATAAAACCACTTATTTACAGTCAACTGAGGTTTGACAAAGCCAAAAAGAAGTTACACTGGAGAAAGAACATCCTCTTCAATTAATGGTGCTGGGAAAATTGAATTGAATAGAATGAAACTGGACCCCTATCACCATATATAAAAATCAACTCAAAGTGGCCTAAAAACTTAAATGTAATATCTGGAACTGTAAAAATATTAAAAGAAAATCTAAGGAAAACTACTGAACATTGGGCTAGGCAGAGAATTTATGACTAAGATCTCAAAAGTACTGGCAACACAAACAAAAATGGACAAATGGTACTTAATTACACTAAAAAGCATCTACACAGAAAAATAAATAATCAACAGAATGAAGAAACAACTTTTGAATTGGAGAAAATATTTTCGGATTATTCATCTGACAGAGGACTAACTTCCAGAATATACAAGGAACTCAAACAACTTAGAAAAAAAAAATGTTCCCATTTAAAAAAAAATGGGAAAGAACATGAATAGACATTTCCCGGAGGAAGACACACATTCAGCCAGCAAGTATATTAAAACATGCTCAATATTATAATCATCACAGAATGCAAACCAAAACCACAATGTTATCATCTTAACCCAGTCAGAATGGCTATTGTCAAAAAGACAAAAGATAACAGAGGTTGGCGAGGATGTGGAGAAAAAGGAACTTTTATGCACTATTGGTGGAAATGTAAACTACTAAAGCTACTACGGAAAACAGTATGAAGATTTCAAAAAAAAACCTGCAAATATACTTATCATTTGATCTAGCAGCTCCACTACTGGGTATCCATCCAAATGAAAAGAAATCAATATATCAAAGGGATTCCTGCACTGAGATGTTTATTTCAGCACTATTCACAATAGCAAACATATGGAATCAACCTAAATGTCCGCCAATGGATAAATGGATGAAGAAAATGTGGTGTATATATGCATAATGAAATATTATTTGGCCATAAAAGTAATGATATCATATCATTTGCAGCAACATGGATGGAACTGGAGGTCATTATCTTAAGTGAAATAAATAAGGCACAAAAAGACAAATATTGCATGCTCTTATTTACATGTGAAAGCAAAGTATTTCATCACATGGAGGTAGAGAGTAGAAAGATGGATAACAGAGCCTGAGAAGAATAAATGGGGAAAGGAGGATGAAGAGAAGTGGGTTAATGGGTACAAACATACAGTTAGAGAGAAGGAATAAATTCAATGTTTGATAGTAGAGTAAGGTGACTATAGTTAATATAAATGTATTGTACTCAGGTGATGCCCTCCCTAAATGCCTTGACTTGATCACTACATATTATATCCATGTAACAATGTTTCACATCTACTCCATAAATTTGTTCAAATAAAAGAAAGTTTGTCTTAAAAAATCACATACAAAAGAACCTCAGACAAATTAACTAAAAAATTAGTTTTCTAGTTTACAGCTGGTCACTCCTGCTTGTTGTCATAATAAGCCAATTCTTCAGAGTTTTTAAACTCAGGGACTTGATATGTAAATTATAGTATTTCATGAAATGGAGACATGAAAATTGGTATTGGCAGGAAATACTCAGCAACAATAAGCTTCCAGATTCTAATTTTAAACTAATTACATTAAGTTGGATGGCTAATCTAAGAAATTAGCTCTCCCTCAATCATGTAATGAAATAAAAAAAACATTAATTTTTTATTTTGATAAATGTGATTCAAAAATTATTAACACAAAGCAAACGTGAAATATGGCTATAATAAGAATATGCAGTAAACACCTTCTCACAGACAGACCTTGTAAAACGACTGGATGCAGTGATTCCTTCTAGTACTAATAATGTATGATTCTTTTGACAATGAACCCTTTTTACGGAGAATTAATTAAGATGTAAAAATGAAGTTTTAAACTTTGCCTTATTTTACAGTTCCTTTCACATCATTAAAAAATGTGTGTGTGATAATTTCATTTGTTTATTGGGGCTACTCTTTAAATTATATTAAAAGCAGCATTCAGCAAATAAGGTATATTTATTAACATTTGGAAATGAAATTGTGAAAAATAAAGAAAATCAAAATAATGGTTAAACAGTTGACAGCAATTATATTTAATTTATAATAAAAATCAACCATATCACAATAAATTCTCTGTTCTAGTTTTGTAGTATGCTAAGGTAAGCCTTCCTCTAAGTTCAAATTCTGTTTCTATCTAGCTTGTCACTCTAGGAAAGAAACTAATTCTTTTTGGCCTGCATTTACTTAAAATAAGACAAAAGGTTTGGTCCAAATAGGCCATACTTTATTTTTCAGATATTTAAAGTAAACTTTATTTTCAGATAATTTAGATTTACACTCAGCTGTGAGAAATAATACAGAGAGATCTTGTGTATCCTTTGTCCAGGTTATTCTAATGATAATATATTGCAAAACTATAGTACCAATTGCAATCAGGATATTCATAATATAGTCAGAATACAGAATAATTTGATTACGACAAGAGTCCTTCATCTTGCTGTTTTATAAGCACATCCTCTTCTAGCCTGCCCTCACCATCTCCTTAACCTCTGGCAATCACTAATTGTTCTCCATTTCCTTAATTTTGCTATTTTAAGAATGTTATAGAAATGGAATCATAGAGTACACAGGCTTTTGAGATAGACTTTTTGCATTCCTTAATCTCTGGAGAGTCATCCACATTGTTGTGTGTCTAATAGTTCATGCCTTTTTATTGCTAAGTAATGTCCCTTCACACATTTTCTGGATGGATTGTAGTTTTCGGCTATTATGAATAAGCTTCTATAAATATTTGTGTATAGGTTTTTGTGTGAACATTTTAAGTTTTGATTTCTCTGGGATAAATGTCCAAGTATTTCATAGGACAGCTGCATGTTCAGTTTCTTATAAAACTGCCAAACTGTTTTTCCTGAATGGCCATACCATTTTATATCTCCATCAGCTATGTGTGAATGATGTACTTTTTCCCCATTCTTACCAGCATTTGGTGATTTTATTGTAGCCTGTCTGATAATTCTGTAGTAATATCTTATTTTGATTTTAATTTGCATTTCCCTAATGGACACCAATGTTTGACATCTTTTCACGTGCTTACTTTCCATCTGTATATCCTCTTCAATGAAATGCATCTTGTTGTCTTTTGTTCATGTTCTAATTTCATTGTTTTCATATTGTTGAGTGTTGAATGATTTTTTACTAGTTATTTGTCTGATATGTGGTTTGCTAATACTTTCTCCCCGTCTTTTCATCCCTAATTTGATAAGGAGCATCTAAACAAAATACAGATATTTTACTTTATGATAAAAAAAGAATGCTTTCCTAAGACATGGAACAAAGCACTTATACATAGAAAAATGTTTTCAAAAGTTCAGTATATCATTTTCCCCCATTTTAAATCCTGCTATGGATGTCAATTCTAAGAACTCTTTTCCTAGCCCTACATCCTGAAGATTTCCCATGTGTTTTTTTTCTAAATGTTTTATAGTTGTATTTTTATATCTAAGTCCATGATGAATTTTCAGTTAATTTTTAGATAGAGTGTGAGGTTTAGGTCAAGGTGCATTTTATTTGCCTATGAAAGTCCAATTGCACCAGCACTGTCTGAAAACAAAATAAAACAAAACAAAACAAAACAAAACAAAACAAAACCTTCTTTCCCCTATTGCACTGCTTTTGCAGCATTGACAAACATTAGCTGGGCATATTTCTGTGTGTTAATTTATATGTTCACTCTTCCATTGACCTATTGTCTTTCCCTCCACCAAAACTAAAGTCTTCATTAGTAAAGGTATCTAATAAGTCTTGAAACAGGGTAGATGAATTACTTTCACTTCACTGCTCTTTTTTTGAAATTGTTTTAGTGATTCCAGTTCCTCTGCTTTTCCATATAAAGTTTAGAATAATCTTGTCTTGTCTATATCTACAAACAACCTTGCTATAATTTTGACAGGAATTGTGTTAAATCTATACATCAGTATGAAGAACTGAAAATAGTATCTCTCCATTTATTTGTAGATTCTATCATTTCTTTTGTCAGCAATTTGTTGCACATGAATTTTCAGCATACAAATTTCACTTCTTAGTTTAGACTTATACCTATGTATTCCACTTCTTTTAGCAATTGTAAATTTCTGTATCCATATGTTCACTACTAGTATACAGCAATACAATTGATCCATGTATGTTAATTATGTATTCTGCCACCTGGCTAAACTCATTTATTAAATCCAGAAATTGTTTTAGACTCAAAATTTTCTACTTAGACAATCATGCCATCTGCATATAAGCACAGTTTTATTTCTTTATTTACAATCTGCAAATTTATTATATGCTTTTTTGTCTTGCTGCAATGGCTAGAGCTTCTATGGCTGTGTTTCATATGAGCCAAGAGAGTGAAAAGTTTTGCTTAGTTCCATGTCTTAGGAGGAAAGCATACTTTTTTTTACCATAAAGTAAAATATCTGTATTTTGCTTAGATGCTCTTTATCAAATTGAGGAAGTTCTTTCCATTCCTATTTTTCTGAGAGTTTTAAACAATGAGTGTGTGTTCATTCTCTTTTAAAGTTATTTTTAAAGCACTGACTGGTATTATCACGTTTCTTCTTTAGATTTTCCATGTGGTTGATTATATCATTGGATTTTTGAATGTTGAGCAAAATGTGCATCCTTGGGACAAACTACTCTTAACCTTTGCATATAATTCTTTTAATGCATGTGATGGTTATTACTGAGCGTCAACTTTATTGGATTGAAGGATGCAAAGTATTGATCCTGTGTGTGTCTGTGAGGGTGTTGCCAAAGGAGATTAACATTTGAGTCAGTGGGCTGGAAAAGGCAGACCCACCTTTAATCTGGATGGGCACCATTTAATCAGCTGCTGGTGCAGCCAGAATATAAAGCAGGCAGAAAAACATGAAAAGGCTAGACTGGCTTAACCTCCCAGCCTACATCTTTCTCCTGTGCTGGATGCTTCCTGCCCTTGAAGATTGGACTTCAAGTTTTTCAGCTTTGGGACTATGACTGGCTTCCTTGCTCCTCAGCTTGCAGATGGGCCTATTGTGGGACCTTGTGATTGTGTGAGTTTAATACTCCTTAATAAACTTCCAATATATATATTAGCTCTATCCATCTAGAGAACCCTGACTAATATAATGCATTACTGGGTTATATTTCCTTAGGAATTTTTACATTTATGTTCCTGAGGAATTCAGATCTCTAGTGTTTTTTTTTTTTTCATTGTCTAAGTCT
Source organism: Homo sapiens (assembly GCF_000001405.40). Classification (NCBI taxonomy): domain Eukaryota; kingdom Metazoa; phylum Chordata; class Mammalia; order Primates; family Hominidae; genus Homo; species Homo sapiens. The sequence continues at coordinate 188,547,228 of NC_000002.12, read as the reverse complement.
GGTTTTGGTATCAGAGAAATACTAGTTTCACAAAATGAAGTAGAAAGTGTTTCTGTCCCTCTTATTTTTCACTGGAATGGATTGTATAGAATAGCATTAATTCCTGTTTAAACATTTTATAGAATTCTCCAGTGAAACCATCTACACCTGGAGATTTATCTTTTAATAACTTTTAATTTATAAATTTAATTTCCTTTATAGTTATCAGGCTATTAAAATAATCTATTTAATAATGAGTGATTTGTGGTAATATTGTTCCTAAATAATTGATCCAATTTATTTGTATTTTTGAATTTGTGTGTGTAAAGTTCTTTATAGGATCCTCTTATTCTTTTGATATTCAGAGAGTCTGTAGTGAAATCTGTTGGTTTTCATTCTAAATATTGGTAACTTGTGTCTTCTCCCTCTTTTGTTCTTTGCCAAATTAATACAATTTGTGACTTTTATAATCTTTTAAAGAATCAGGTCTTTGCTTCATTGATTTTCTGTATTTTCCACTTCACCAATTTCTTCTCTTATTAATCTTATCTTCCGTCTGCTTACTTTGAGGTTTATTTTGATATTTTTGTTGTTCTGTGTATTTGAGATGGGAACATAGATTATTCATTTGAGACTTTCCTCTTTCCTAATGTATTAAATTAGTTACAGATTTCTTTCTTAGCACTGCTTTAGTTATATCACACAAATGTTGATACGCTCTACTTCATTTTTATTCAATTCGCAAAATTAAAAATTCATTTGTGAATCGCTATTTAATGTATGGAATATTTATGAATATGATGTTTCATTTCCTAGCTTTTAAAGATTTTCTGGCTTTCTGTTACTGATCTTTAGATTGATTTCCTTATAGTCAGAGAAACGTTAAATAATTTTAATTCTTTTAAATTTTCAAGATTTATTTTATGGTCCAGGATGTGACTTAATTTGGTACATCTTCCTCAAACACTTGAAAATAATGTACATTCTGTTGTTGTTGGGTGAGGTTCTCTGTAACTGCTCATTAGATCCCACTGGTTGATGATGTTGAGTAATTCTATATCCTTGATGATTTTCTAATTATTCTATAAATTTGAGGGAAAGTGCCAGTAAAATTTCGACTATAATTGCGTATTTGTCTATTTACTCTTTTAGTTCTATCTGTTTTTGTTTCTCATTTTGCAGCTCTATTTTTTGGTAATACACAGTTAGGATTACCATATCTTCTTGGGAACTGGTCCCTTTTATCACTATATGCCCCTCCTCTGTCTCTGGTAATTTTCTTTGCCTTGAGGTCTACTTTATCTGATGTAAATATAGTTACTACTGCTTTCTCTGAATAATGGTTGCATGAAAACTCTCTTTTCATTCTTTCATTTTTAGCCTGCCTATATCACCTATACCATTATGTTTGCAATGAACATCTTGTAGATGATATGTATCTGGATTATGTTTTGTAATCCACCTTAACAACATATTTTAACTGGTGTAGTTAGACCATTTACATTTAATGTGATTTTTGATATGTTAGGGCTTAAGTACATTATTTAATCTTTTTCTTTTCTGTTACCTATCTTTTTTCTTTCTCTGTTTTCTTTTCATTGCATCTCTATGGGCTTTTAAAACGATAACATTTTAATTTCTCTATAGTGCTTTTAAGTGTATCTCATTATACAACGTGTTAATGGTTGTTATTGGATTCACATTTTATCTATATAACTTATCATAGTTACCCAGCGCTATTATTTTTCCAGTTCATGTGAGGTGTAGAAACCTCACCTCCCTTTTTACATCCTCTTAACTTTCCTAGTTTAATATAATTGGCTTACATATTTCATGTCCATATATGAAATCACATCAGATTTAAAATCACATCAGAAAGTATTTTTTCTTCTACTATCAAACACAATTTAGAAAACTAAAGATTTACTCATATGTTTGCTCATCTTGTTTTTTTTTTCCTTCCTTATACTCCAAGTTCCCATTTTGTATTGTTTCCTTTCCATTTAGAGAACTTCCTTTAGCCATTCATTTAGGATATCTAGTAGTGGCAAACAATCTTAATTTTCATTCATCTAATAATTTTTTAAAATTTCTTTCCAATTTCTGAAGAATATGTTTCTGGATATAGGATCATTTGACAGGCTTTTGTTTTTTCCATTACTCAAAAAGTATTATGCAACTTCCTTCTTGCCTTCATGGTTTCTGGTGAGAAATACACTGCCATTCACATTCTCTGCTATAGGTAAGTACTTGCTTATCTCATGCTGCTTTCAAGATTTTTCTTTTGTCTTTAGTTTTCAGAAGCTTGAATATGATGTGTCTTGGTATGGAGTTACTTGGATTAATCCTGTTTGGAGATCACTCAGTATTTTAGATCTATAGGTTGATGTCCTTTGTCAAATCGGGAAAGTTTTCAACTAATATTCTTGGAGTGTTTTTTAAGGGTGCTTATTCTCTTTTTCCAGGACTCAGATGACACACAAATGTTAGATATTTTGTTACGGTCCCACAGTCCATGAGGTTCTGTTTTGTTGGTTTATTGAGTCTATAATCTTTGTCTTGTTCAGATTGGGTATTTTCTATTTGTCAGTCTTCCAGGTCATTGATTCTTTTCCTTTGACCTCTCTATTCTGCTGTTGAGTCCATACACTAAGTCTTTCATGTCATTACTTTATTTTTCAGTATTCTTTTAGTATTATTATTATTATTATAATAATACTTTAAGTTTTAGGGTACTTATGCACAACATGCACGTTTGTTACATATGTATACATGTGCCATATTGTTGTGCTGCACCCATTAACTCGTCATTTAGCATTAGGTATATCTCCTAATGCTATATCTTCTGTTTCTTTGCTTAGATTTTCTGTTTGATAAGATTTTCTACATTCTCATCTGTTTCATGTGTGTTTGTAACTGCTCATTTTATTGTGTTATATGATGGCTGTTCTAAAACCTTTGTCCTATAATTATAATATCTCTGACATCTATGTGTTGGTAACTACTGACTGTCATTTCCTTTTTAGTTTAAGAAACCTGTCTCTTGGTATGAAGAGTGATTTTCATTTTATGAAATACTGGAAATTATTTAAATTTTCTGCTTTAGGTGGCTTCATCAGATGCAATTCCAGTAGGAGAGTGAGGGTGGAAATGCACTGCCCCCTTATTGCCTGGTAAGTATAGAAGCTCAGCATTCTAATTTGGCAGGGTTAAATGTTGTCATTCAGCATTCTAATTTGGCAGGGTTGAATGGTCCTCACTGTCACCATGGAAGAAGGAGGACTATTAATACAACATGATACTGTTAATAAAGTAGTGAATTCCAGTCTTGTGCCTTACTAAAAAAGGTTTCATCTTTCAAAATCTCAATTTCAAAGAAGTACTAAAAAGATAAAATACAATGAACAGATAAAGTCCCCAATAAGAGCAGATGAACTCTAGAGGAGGCCACAGTTATGGGAGTAATATAGCATGATGAGATAAATGTAGCAATAAGAATTATGAGTCTTAGATTTTAGTCCTGATTCTACTGACTACTTAGCTTTGTAACTTTGGGAAACTTACTTCAACATCTCTGGTCTTGGTTTTTTAAAATAGGAGGAGAGTTGTATGAGATAGGCCATAACTTATTTCCCATTTTAACACTCTATGCTAAACTATTTAAAATGAGAATTACATAAGATGGCATATCAAAAATTCTGCATACATATAATATCAGTGTTATAAATATAGTCATCATTATAATTAGCACTGATAAAACCTCATAGTTAAGATAGTGCAGGTATAACAAAATTTTGAGGAAACGTCCTTTTTCAGCACAGGAAGGTGATGCCAACTTATAGTTGGGAGGTATCTGGGAACTTCTCAAAGCCAAGACTTCCTCTACCTGCAGCAGAATCACTTGGTATACTTGATAAATATAGATTTCCTGAGCTCCAGCCCCAATTGATAATAGCTTTTAAAAGGCATCCTGTATGATTTTTATGTACATTAATGATTGTGAACCACTGCTTAGGCTTCAAGAAATTATTTTCAATCTTTTTTTATTTATTTTTTTAATTATACTTTAAGTTTTAGGGTACATGCGCACAACAAGAGAAAATAGTTGATACGCTATATCCAAGGAGAACAATCAATTACAGACAGTTATGATCAAAAAGAAATGGGGTCTATGCTTTTAAGGTGGCAAACTTATATTTTAAATATTAATTTAACAAATTTGGATAGGGATCAAAGAATATAAAACAAATGGCACAAATCTATAAGAAGGCCAATATTTAGAATGAACTCTGACTCTGAAACATTTCAAAGGACCTTAAGGAAATTTATTTCTATGGGTAAGGCAGGAAAGAAGAATAACTGAGTTTACTGCTTTATGTAGGTGGTAAAAGGTTATTATAAATTATGTGTAGAAGATATTCAACAAATATCAACTTTAATCTTCTCAGTCATAGAGAAAAGAATCTGCAAGCAATCATGGTTAAAAAACACTTGAAATATGTAAATTTTATTTATTCATTCATCAGAAGTTCATATAAAATAAAATTCAAAATCAATTTGAGCTATATAAAATGTCTTATTGTGCACAAAATATTGTCTTATATTGCTAAGCATCTTTTTTCTGATGAAATGTTCCATAATGTGCACAAAATTCACAAAAGGTATTATGATATCTAGTAGCTTAGCACATTAGCTTTCCTTTCTAGAGAACTACAGTTTAAAAAATAAAAATAAAAACTTGCTCTATTTTTTGTAACTTTTCAATGTGATCTTTTTCTTAAGGAATGTTTCATTGAGCACCTATTGTCCACTTGATGTAGGAGTCACATGAACAAATAAAAAGGTATTTGTTCTCAAGAAGCTCAATACTGAAACTAGATAAACAAATGACATAACAGTGATAATAATATTAGCTATCTGTTATTTTTGACAGCAGCAAAAATTAGCAAACAGATGAATTGTTTTATTTCCTATCTAAACCAATAAAATTGTTGAGGTTACATGTTTTTCCTTTATTGCAGCCACCAGTGGGTTTTCCTTAAGATTCCAGATGATTAAAGAACTGCTACAGGATTTAACATAGAATTTCATACATACAATTCCATTAACTTTCATTATTTTAAGTTGTTTTTTTTTTTTCTCTTGAGATGGAGTCTCACTCTGCCGCCAGGCTGGAATTCAGTGGCGCGATCTTGGCTCACTGCAACCTCTGCCTCCCAGGTTCAAGTGATTTCCTGCCTCAGCCTCCCTAGTAGCTGGGACCACTGGCACACACCACCACACCCAGCTAATTTTTGTATTTTTAGTAGAGACAGAGTTTCACCATTTTGGTCAGGATGGTCTCGATCTCTTCACCTCATGATCTGCCCGCCTCGGCCTCCCGAAGTGCTGGGATTACAGGCGTGAGCCACCGCGCCTGGCCTAAGATTTTTATACAATGAACATAAGGAACTAAATTTTCAGTGTATTGGAAAATCTTTTAAGGAACCATATAGATCATATTTCCTGGAGTTAAGAATATTTATTTTCATAAAATCCATCATATTCTGCACATGTGGGGGAAACACACGTTTGCTCACCACTACTGTTTGTATTATGTGCATAATACTAAATCATATTTGAGTTTAAAATTGTAAAATAGATTAAATTATTATAAAATACATGCATAACATAAGCAGGCATGGCATTCTAATAAAAGAAATTTACATGTAAGTTTATGCTCATGACCATGAGAATTTAGTTACAGATGAAATCCTGAAGCATATTCTCATGACAAAATAAATCTATTAGTACAGCTAAGTATTTACAGACTTTTTACAGAATAATTTACAGAAAATTATTCATTTTCAAATACTTTGCCAATGCCAGAAGCAAGACAATTCCTGGCTTATAAAACAGAACAAACCACCCTACAACATCTGGGATACTTACACACTTTTCGCTGTCAAATACATAGCACAAATGTTTATTTGACTCAGAATCTTTGCATATGAAAGTGAATATCCTCTTGTCAGTTTTATCATCTGCACAAAAAGATATTCTATGAAGCTGGCAATTGTGTTGAACTTCCTGTGAACACAGATGGAAATAAACATAGTTGATGGGATTCTTTTTTCATTTTCTGAAATACTCGTTTGTGTTAATAACATGTGACTTTAAAAGTAGAACAATCATCTGTCAATCTTTGATTTTATAATTATGTACACCCCAACCTAAAACAAAGGCATAATGGATACAGATAGACCTCCTGATTCAGGATGAAACTAAGATATGCATTTCAGTAGTGCTGAGCAAAACATAAGCATAGTACAAAATGATCAAAGATTTATGGCCTATCTGAGCTACAATGGCTCTTGAGAAATCATATACTTTAAACTTTGCATGTTTACAGAGGAGAACAATGAGACCCAGAAAGAATAAGACACCCCCACAGTTTTACAGAATTACCAGAACTCTTTTAAACCAGAGCAATTCTCATTTTATCTCACTGCTGTTTACTAGCATTATAGTTTAGAACACAGCTTTATCTGGATACGATTTCATGTGAAACACACTATCATTTCATCCTTAGTAATCTTATTAAATTTTATTTTATATAATTTCATGGTAACTCATACACTCTTGAACCTGTTCTGTCTAGGAAGCTCATCTTTGGAACTTCTGTAGCATTTTTCATGAAGCAATAAATGAATGGTATACATATCCAGACTCCAAATCACGCAGTCAAATCTATTCATCAGTAGAAGACAAATACTGCAACCAGATCGATATAGTTGCAGCATATATTTACACACGCACACACACACACACACATATTAAATTATAAAACTTATAAAATAGAAGGTATATACATCATTAAAATAAAAATATTTATATAAAATAAATGTGTTTCTATAATTACTATTATTTAGTCAAAAGATGGAGCATTTGACACTTTTTATATTCATATAGATCATCCGTGTTAATTATTCATTCTTCACAGTCTTCTGAAACATGTTGGAGGTAGAAAAGAAATTCAATGTTTTTGATTATGACAAGTAGAAAAATCAACTATTCCTTTTTCTGTTGTAGTCATAAATATATTTTCCTAAGATACACTGTAACACTAGAAATATCAATCAGAAAGTCAGTTCACCAAGATTATTGAGTGGGTGTTTTATAAGATTGGAGATGGAAGCAACTACAGTTTCATCTAAGGAAGGCTGGCTGAATATCCCCCAAAAAAGCTTTATTTTAGGTTATAACTAGAAGAGTTTCTCTAAAGGTGGCTTCAGACAACGTGTAGCACAAATACCTGGGGTGCTTGCTATAAAAATTTACACTGTTTTTACCTCAGTTGAATCAAAATCTCAGAGATTTTGTTCAAGATAAGAATCATTGATATGAAAACATTTAAACTTCTCAGTTCAGAGTTTGATGTGTCAGCTTGCTGAGATTTGCTCTATTACTCTGATTCAAATAACTGCTCGTCAGACTGAAAATGAATATATAAAATGAGATATACAAATAAATGCTAAGAGAACTGTCCATAGCAAAGCATTCTTTCCCTGCATACAATGGTAAACCAAACGGTAAGCCATCGAAGAGTTGCTTGGTAAGTATGAAAATTAAAATAAGGAAGTATATTGTAGGATTGTAATGCTTACTGGCATTATTAGATAGCCTAATTCATCTGTTTAAAAGCAGGGGGAACCAAGTCTAAGAAGAGGTGCTTGACTTACTTAGCTTTTGATGGCAGCATCTTTCCTTTCTTATACAGAAAGCATCGATGGACAATGATCATATTTGTTTGAGACTATCTTCTTTCTGTATTTTGCCTATTAGAACAGTTTCCTTTCTTATTGATTTTTTTTTGTTTTAATGACAATATAGTCAATTAAATAACAGCTCTCTGTTACACGATAGCTCCCAAATACTGACAGGAGGTCTATAACAGCTTATTAATTGTAAAAGCATGTTAATGATAAATAAAGAGAAAATATTACTGCTAAACACTATAGGAAAAAAATTCATTTCTCCATAGATGGGAGAAATTATGAGTAACATGCAAAACACAACATTCACTTAGCTGGTGCTGAAATCTACATAGTCTCTCATTTACTCTCATTTCTAGCACTCTATAATCTTCATTTGGAGGACACGTGAGAAAAGCAGAAAGGGAAAGGACACAGAAAGACAGAGGAGCCAATTGTTATTGAGATTGCTTTCACTTAATTTTCACTTTCCATTTTCATTCATCCAAGTGAAAAAAAAATAAAGATTCTATTCTGTATAAAGACAGTCCATGTTAGATTAATAATATATTTAAAAATCCTGTCTCATATATGTATGTTTAACTATAAATAAATTTATTTTAGAAGTATCACATTTGTTTTTTTCTAAATATCAACATACATCTAGAATGAAATGATTGATTTTTTTGTGTGTCACTTATGTATATGTCCTTGAATAGTAGTTTCTAAATGCATGTCTGTAAATGTCTATGAATAGGTTGTATCCAAGAACTGAGAACTGTCTCTCTCTCTCACTACACACACACACACACACACACACACTCACACACACACTCACACACACATACCGCAATCAGCATTCTTAGGAATGTTTTGGGGACACTGGTGCTCAGCAGAGCTTTTTAATCCCTTTTTTAGATTTCCTACATTTTTAATGCATTCAAGAAATGGTACTTTATATATATGGGTAAATAGTCATATACTCTATATTCGTATGTAACATAGGGTAAATAGTTGTTCTATATTAATATGCAATATAATTGAATGTATAAAATATCTCAAGGATTTTTAAACTCCAAGATTGCTCCCCAGGTTTGGTAGGGATTAAAATAGAGATGCTTCTTTTTCATTAAGAGTTTTAAAAACTCACTTCTGGGAATAGAATTCAAGTAGGGCTCTTAAAAATTAGCTATTAGTGCTAAATGCATACCTCAGAAATTTAGAAAGATCACTAGTTAGCAATCTAATATCACACCTAGAGGAACTAGAAGAACAAATATCAACTAACCCCAAAGCTAGCAGAAGATATAACTAAAATCTGAGTGGAATTGAATGAAATTGAGAGAAAAAAATCCATAAAAACAATGAACAAACCCAAAAGTTAGTTCTTTGGAAGGATCAACAAGATCACTAGACCACTAGCTACATAAACAAAGACTAAAGGAGAGAAGAGCCAAAAAGTACAATGAGAAACAACAAAGGTGGTATTACAACTGATCCCACGGAAATACAAAAGATCCTCAGAGACTATTACGAACACCTTGAAGCTCACAAACTAGAAAATCTAGAGGAAATTGATAAATTTATAGAAACGCAGAACCTCCCAACATTGAATCAGCAAGAAACTGAAATCCTGAACAGAACAATATCAAGTTCTGAAATTGAATCAGTAATAAAAAATCTACCAACCAAACAAAGCCCCAGAGCAGATGGATTCACAGCCAAGTTCTACTATACCTACAAAGAAGAGTTGGTACCAATTCCACTGTAACCATTCCCAAAAAACTGAGGAGAAGGAACCTCTCTCTAACTCATTCGACAAAACCAGCATAATTCAGATACCAAAACATTGCAAAGATACAGTGAAAAAAGAAAACTATAGGCCAATATTCCAGATGTACATAGATGCAAAAATTCTCAACAGAATACTTGCAAACTGAATTCCACAGTACATTAAAAAATTAATTCAAAACAACCAAGAAGGCTTCATTCCTGGGATGCAAGGTTTGTTCAACGTATGCGAATCAATAAATACAATTCAACATAAAAACAGAATTAAGAACAAAAACCATATGATCATATCAACAGAAGTCGAAAAAGCCTTCGAAAAAATCCAGCATTCCTTCATGATAAAATCCCTGTACAAACTAGGCATTGAAGGAACATACTTCAGAATAGTACAGCCATCTATGACCAACCCAGAGCCAACATAATACTGAACCGGCAAAAGCTGGAACATTCCCCTTGAGAACTGGAACAAGACAAGGATGCCCACTCTCATCACTCCTATTCCACAGAGTACTCAAAGTCCTTGCCAGAGGAATCAGACAGTAGAAAAAAAGAGAAGGCTTCAAAATAAAAAAATAATAAGTCAAACTATCCCTCTTAACTGACAATATGATTATCTACCTAGAAGATCCTAAAGATTCCACCAAGAGGCTCCTGCAACTGATAGTAAACAACTTCAGTAAAGTTTCGAGATATAAAATCAATGTACAGAAATCAGTAGCATTTCTGTATACCAATAACATTAAAGCTGAGAGACAAATCAATAATGCAATCCTATTTCCAATAGTCAACAAAAAAAATAAAATACCTAGTAATACATCTAACCAAGGAGGTGAAAGATTTCTGCAAGAAGAACTACAAAACACTGTGGAAAAAAATCAAAGATGACAGAAACAAATGGAAAAATATTCCGTGCTCATGAATTGGAAGAATTAATACTGTTAAAATGACCATATTGCCCAAACAATACAGATTCAATGTTACTCCTATCAAATGGCCAATGCCATTTTTCAGGGAATTAGAATTTTTAAAATTCTAAACTGCATATGAAACCAAAAAAGGGCCTGAATAGCCAGAGCAATTTTAACCAAAAGAATAAATCTGGAGGCATCACATTACCCGATGACTGTACTATAAGGCTATAGTAACCAAAAAAGCATGGTACTGGTACAAAAACAGGTACATAGACCAATGGCAAAGAATAGAGAATTCAGAAATAAAGCCACAAGTCTACAGCCATCTGATCTTTGACAAAGTCAACAAAAATAAACAATGGGGAAAGGACTCCCTATTCAATAAATGTTGCTGGGATACCTAGCTAGCCAGATGCAGAAGAATGAAACTGGACCCCTACCTTTTACCATATACAGAAATTAACTCAAGATGGATTAAATAATGTAGTACCTCAAACTATAAAAATCCTAGAAGAAAATAATGTAAATGCCCTTCTTGACATCAGCTTTGGTAAAGAATTTTTGTCTAAGTTCCAAAAAGCAATTGCAACAAAAACAAAAGTAGACAAGTGGAACCTAATTAAAGAGCATCTGCACAGCAAAAGAAACTATCAAACAGAGTAAACAGACACCTTACAGAATGGGAGAAAATATTTGCAAACTATGCATCCAACAAACGTCTAATACCCAGGTTCTATAAGAAACTTAAACAATTAAACCAACAAAAAACAAATAACCATATTAAAAAGTGGGCAAAAGACATGAACAGACACTTCTCTAAAGAAGACAAACAAGCTGCAAATAAACATGAAAAAAATGCTCCACATCACTTATCATCAAAGAAATTCAAATAAAAACCACAAAGAGATATGATCTCACACCAATCAGAATCACTCTTATTAAAAAGTCAAAAACAACAGATGCTGGTGAGGATATGAAAAAAAGGGAATGCTTATACACTATTGGTGGGAATGTAATTTAGTTCAGCCACTATGGAGAGAAGTTTGGAGATTTCCCAAGGAACTTAAAACAGTTGCTGTTTTCCAGCAACCCTGTTACTGGGTATACATACTTGACATATATCCATAAAAAGACAAATCTTTCTACCAAAAAGACACATGCACTCATATGTTCATTGCAGCACTATTCATAATGGCAATGACATGTAATTAACCGAGGTGCCCATTAACGGTAGATTGGATAAAGAAAATGTGGTACATATGTACCACAGAATACCATGCAGCCACAAAAAGAACAAAATCATGTCCTTTCCAGAAAATGGATACTGCTGGAGGCCATTATCCTAAACGAATTAATGCAGAAACAGAAAAACAAATACTGCATATTCTCACTTATAAGTGAAAAACATTGGGTACTCGTGGACATAATGATGGCAATAATAGACACTGGGTAACTTTTAAAGTGGATGGGAAAAGGGGGTGTTAAGGATTGAAAAACTAACTATTGGGTACTGTGCTCACTATCTGGGTGATGGAATCATTCATATGCCAAACCTCAGCATGATGCAATATACCCAGGTAACAAATCTGCACATGTAACTCTTGAATCTAAAATGAAAGTTGAAATTATTAAAAACAGAACGAGTAGAAATAAATAACAGAAAAAATAGAAATTAATTTTTAATATTAACTAGTAATTTACTATTAATTTAAACATTAAATAATTACTTTAATATTAAATAATTAAATATTACCAATTTAATATTAAACACTAATTGAATATTAATTATTAATAACAATTTATTATTAAATATTAAAGTCTTAATAATAGGAAATCGAGACTTGTGGACAGGAAAGAAAAGCACTGGCATTATTGATTTTGGTAAGGCAATATAGGATAATGAAGTCAACTGGCTAATCATGTTGAGTTGAACCCCACTTCACTGATATTTTGTAAAGGAGGTTTAGGTTGGGAGAAGCATGCAGATTTGATATTAAAAGCTTAAGAAACAGAATTATATAATAGGTTGTCATGTGATAAACTTATTGATAGAAACCTGAAAATATGATTTTCCGCAATAAAAATAGTAGGTGGGAATCATCTACTTTCTTACTACCTTTCCCTGTTTGTTTTGTTTTGTTTTGTTTTATCACCAAACAGACTTTTTTAAACTTTTATTTTAGATTCAGGGGGTGCATGTTCAGGTTTGTTACCAGGGTATACTGCATGATGCTGAGGTTTTGGGTAAAAATAGTCCCATCACTGAGGTACTAAGCATAGTATGCAAGAGTTTGTTTTTAAACCCTTATCCCCTCCTTCCTTCTCCCTCTGGTAGCCCCCAGAAACTACTGTTGCATCATTATGTCCATGAGTACCCAGTATAAGTACCCACTTATAAGTAAGAATATATGGTATATGGTTTTCTGTTTCTGCATTAAATCATTTAGGATAATGACCTCCAGATGCATCCATGTTGCTGCAAAAGGACACAATTTCATTCTTTACTATGGTTGCATAGTGTTCCAATGATGTATGTGTACCACATTTTCTTTATCCAATCCACCATTGAGAGGCATCTAGGTTGATTCCATGTTTTTGCTATTGTGAAAAGTGCTGCGATGAAAATGAGAGTGTATGTCTTTCTGGTATAAAGATTTATTTTTCTTTTGGATATATACCAAGTATATACAACCAGCATTAGGGTTGCTGGAAAATGGTAACTGTTTGAAGTTATTTGAGAAATCTCCAACTGCTCTCCACAGCAGCTGAACGAATTTACATTCCCACCAACAGTGTATAAGCATTCTCTTTTCTTCACAATCTCACCAGCATCTGTTATTTTTGAACTTTTTAATAACAGTTATTCTGCATGGTGGTGATTGTATCTCATTGTGGTTTTGATTTTAATTTCTTTGATTAGTGATGCGGAGCATTTTTTTCATGTTTGATAGCCACTTGTTTGTTTTCTTTTGAGAAGGGCCTGTTCCTGTTTCTTTTTCCCACTTTTTAATCGGGTTATTATTATTTTTTGCTTGTTCAATTGTTTAAGTTCCTTATAGATTCCGGATATTAGATGTTTGTTAAATGCATAGTTTGCAAATACTTTATCCCATTCTGTAGGTGTCTGTTTACCCTGTTCATAGTTTCTTTTGCTGTGCAGAGGCTCTTTAATTTAATTAGGTCCCACTTGTCAACTTTTGTTTTTGTTGCAATTGCTTTTGAGGACTTAGTCATCAATTCTTTCCCAAGGGCAATGTCCGGAATGGTGTTTCCTAGGTTTTCTTCCAGGATTCTTATACTTTAAGGTCTTACATTTAAATATTTGATCCATCTTGAGTAAATTCTTGTATATGGTGAAAGGTAAGGGTCCAGTTTCAATCTCTTCCATATGGCTAGCCAGGTATCCCAGCACCAATTATTGAATAATCATTTCCCCATCTGTTATTTTTGTTGACTTTGTCAAAAAATCAGATGGCTGTAGGTGTGCAGCTTTAATTTTGGGTTCTCTATTCTCTACTGTTGCTGTACCACAGACTTTTTCTAAGCCCAGCTTAATTTTTGACCCTATTCACTTTGGTTTTTCCTCACTCTACAGTATCATACGCTATTTTTTAAAAAAAGTTTGGTATTTCTGTCTTTGTATTTACAAATATTTAAAGTTAATGAAAAAAAATTATCCTTATTCCAGGTAAATAACCAACAATCAGGAGAGCAGGTATAAGGAATAACCTAATAAATCATAAGTTATTGGTCAATTGGGTTTCATAAAGGTAGGTTTCTTCTTCAAGTGGTCAGGAAGCCAAGGAAGAAAAACCAAACAGATATGATAGCCTAACTTGTTGATTAAGTCTTTAAAAGAGCTTTTCACATATCTTTCTTTCTTTTCTTTTTTATGTGAGACAGTCTCACACTGTCACCTGTGCTGGAGTGCAGTGGCGCGATCTTGGCTCACTGCAACCTCCACCTACCGGGTTCAAGCGATTCTCCTGCCTCAGCCTCCTGAGTGGCTGGGATTACAGGCACCCACCACCACACCCAGCTACTTTTTTTTTTTTTTTTTTAGTAGAGACAGGGTTTCATCATGTTGGCCAGGCTGGTCTCAAACTGCTGACCTCATGATTCCCCCATCTCGGCCTCCCAAAGTGCTGGGATTACAGGCATGAGCCACTGCACCCAGCCAGTTCACATATCTTTCATTGGAACAAATAGTCTCATTTAAAAGGTCAGATGAAATCATGCAGAAAATAATAGAAAAGGTTGCAATGCATACCCATATACTCTTCACCTAGCCAACTGGTAACATCATGCCACATTTGCATTACATGATCCATTTTCGTCTCTCTTTACACACACACATACCCTATAAACGTAGGTGGTAGCCATCTTGTAGCGGTAGTTAGTGGTAGCCATCTTGTAGCGCTTTAAGCAATTAGCATTTTATGCATTTCTAAGGACATGCCATTATTAACCTGTGAATTCTAAAACCCAAAAAAGTTTTCTCTACATACTGCATTTAATTGTGTTTGTATTTTGTAAATATTTAAACGTGATTATCAACTAACAAAAAATTTGAAACATTCCATATGTTCAATAATAGAAGAATAATTTGGTAAATTATGGTATATGAACGTAGTGAAATTATTAGAGTTTAGAATATACCATAGGTCGTTTCAAATAAAAAATAACAAGAACATACGAAAATGATACATAAAGTATATTATCAGCTTTATATATTTTAATGTGTGCTGGGACAAGCCCCAAACCTTCAGATAAGAAATTGAAAATAATATTAATTACACATACACACACAAACATGTACACACACTCCAAAACAGCTACCTAATTCATATGGTGTAGAAAAAAACTTTCAACATAAGCATGGCCTACAAATACCCTATTCCGGCTGGACATTTACCACTCTATATCCTTTTAATTTTGAAAAGAAGATGTAGGAATAGGATTATTCTTATTTTCATGACACATAAGACTACACTTTGTTGCTACACTTTTGATTGCATTGTCCTTCTGTAATTTATTGCTTCCTTGGTCTATTGTTCTTTATGTAACTGCTAATTGCCTAATGAATTTATCTCATTCATACCTTGCTTTCAATTGCCTTGTTTCCCAGCAAACTACATATATCCCATTATATGCTTGAATCAACCCTCTACTATCTTTTCACCATTTCATTTTTCTGTTTTCAGCCACCTTAGCAGTAGTTATTTTAGAATCGCCGTAACTAAAGTAAATCTTCACATCTTTGTTTGTAATTGAATATTGAGGGTGAATAATAGAGAAGATTAGACAGGATAATTGTTGAGAGGACTTAAATTCACGTCTTGAAAAGTTTAAAGGAATGCCATTGCTCTTTAATATGGGAAGTTGAAGGTATGCCATTGATCTTTACTACAGATTTCCACAGTTAGAGGTTCTGATTCTGGGGGCAAATTTGGGGCCTTAGAAATTACTTTTGCAAATGCCTCAGTTAATTTTTATGTCGCTATTCCATAAGCTACAATTTGAAAATGAGGCCTACCGCATTAAGCCACTAAACCATGCACAACAGCAGATCCCCTCAAACTTTAATGTGCATGCGAAACACTAGGTTTCTTCTTTAATTGCAAATACAGATTCTGTAGGTCTGTAGTGGGGCATTAAATTCAACATTTCTAACAAGCATCCAATAGATGCAGTTGCTGGTGGTCTGCAGGCCACACTTTAAATAGCAAGTTGTTGCTGGGAACTGGAATTTACATAGATGAAGGTATCAAAGACACTTGCTGGACTAGAGAAAAGTTGCAGACCTGTGGGAAACATTTTTCATAATCTGTTAACAGGCCAGAAGTTCCTCTTTTGGCTTTTATACTGAATTAATTTGTCAATATGTATCCTATGGTGTTAGAAGAACACTTTGACGATACGTATTTATAAAATAATTGGAGTTAAATATTAATTTTTCCAAATTGACTAATATGGTCTTATCAAAATTACTAAATGATAACTCTGAGGCATTGTGAATAAAGTACTGTGTTTGTTTACTAAGCCTGCCATAACAAAATACCACTGACTGGGTGGCTTATCCAACAGGAATTTATTTTCTCACAGTTCTGCAGGTTAGAAGTCTAAGATCAAGGTGTCGGTAGGTTTGGTTTCTCTGGGGCCTCTCTCTTTGGCTTGCAGATTGCTGCCTTCACGTGGTCCTTACTCTGAGTGTACGTATCCCTGGTGTCTCTTCCTCTTTTTGTAAGAATACTAGACATATTGGATGAGGCCCCACCCTTAAAATCTCATTTAACCTAAGTTACCTCTTTGAAGGCCTTATCTTCAAATATAGTCATATTAGGGGTTAGGGCATGAACACAGGAATTTTGGAAGGAAACACTTTAGTCCAAAACAAGTATATGTTAATGAATTTGAATCCAGAACAGATTTTATTTTTAAATATTTTATTTGCTTTGAAGGGTCCTAAATACAAGAAACTTAAGTTTACACTGTATTATGGGCTGAATTGTGTTCCCCAAAATTCACATGTTGAAGCTCTAATCCCCAGCACCTCAGAATGAGACTGTGGTTGGAGTGCTAAATTAAATAAGCATGAGGCCATTCACCTAGGGTTGTCTGTGTATTTTGAGTTCCTATACAACAAACTGCAACCTAACTAGTATGTAAATAAACTGAACACTAATTTGGAAGTATAACACATAGCTAAGTTTCAGCCAATTACAGGCAGCCAGCTCATCACTACATATCCATATAAGGTATATGCCTTGCTATAGCCAATCAGGTGAGTTGTCACCTTTGAGTCTGTGTTCAGCCTATAAAAAGCTCCATGTTCACGCTGCTGGGCAAACCTTTCTGAACATCTGGTTTCAAGTGCTGCCTGATTCATGAATCATTATCTGTTCAAATAAACTCTGCTAAATTTAATTTGTCTAGTTTTTCTTCAAACAGGAGATAAGGCCTTTAAAAAGGTAACTAAGTTAAAATAAGGCCATGAGTATGGTTCCTAATCCAATTTGATGAGTGTCCTTATAAGAAGAGACACCAGACAAGTGTGAAAAGGCAGCAAGAGGGCAGCCCTCTGTAAGCCAAGGAGAAAGGCTACAGAGGAAACTAACCCTGCTGGCATCTTGATCTTGGAACTCCAGCCTCCACAACTGTGAGAAAATATTTTCTGCTGTTTAAGCCACCCAGTTTGTGGTGTTTTGTTTCAGCCTCCGTAAAAAACTAATACACACTGATTACATCTACAGGAAATAAAAGTCAATGCAGAATATTTTAATAACACACAGCTTTTATCTTCTTTCATACTCAGTGAACCACACTGTATGCATCTCTTTCACATCTCATGAAAAAAACATTCCCAAATACACGTCCAAACACTGTTGAATGCACTTAACATAAGTTATTAATATTATATCCCAAACAAGCTGAAGAAAAGATCACTTATAATGCAATTCCAAAAGTTGTTTTCACTTCTAAAACTCCTAGAGTTTCGAACTGTCATTAACTCAGAACTAAACAGTTCAGGGTGGCAAAAAATTTTAAATATTTGTTAAAGTAGGAATATAATTGCAATTAATTAAAGATTGCCTCTAACATTAAAAAAAAAGCCTTACCTTTGTTTTGGGTTCTAGAATTTTTACTCCATAAATTGATATTTGCAACTCCACTTTAGGAATTTTCTGGCCTTCAGATTTCTTGATATGTCTTGCAAACTACGAATGAAAAATTATTCACAAAGCTACACTTCTATTTCTATAAAGAATGAACAAAAATAAATATACATTTGGAGTTCATATTCAATTTCAGACTTTAATTAAGTGAATTTTTGCCAAGTATAAAGCATTTTATAAAGATAGTCTCAATATATTTAAAAATCATAGCAATCAGCCATTATAATTCACATTGATTTTCAGCAAGTTTTTTAAATTAAGATTTTTAATGCACTTCTTTCATGGTATTTACAAAAACGTATTCATACCAGACAGTTGAGAAAACTCAAAATACTTTGTGGGAAGATATGTAGAGATCAGTTTGTTTTTCTGTGAATCTTTTGTTGTTATTATCTTCAGAGAATTTGCAGTTCATCAGCTGTTGAATATGCCCTCTTTGCCATTTTTAGATACTTACCTAGTTTGGAACACTATTCTATCCAACCACATCAATAAATAAAAAGAAGCAGATTACCATTTCCAAACTGAAGCTAAGAATTGAAGTAATTATCCCAGCTGAAAGACTCAGGTATAGAACTAGACTCAGTCTAGAACTACAAATATAGTGAGTATCTTGAAAGCACAGTTTTTTTTTTCAATACTTTCATAGTAGTATTTATTATACTTTCTCATTGAGTTAGTAGGTGTATGTAAATGCTTGTTCGATTCTGTTATAAAATCAAAAAGAAAACCAGAATACTCATGTGCTTAGCAGATGGAGTCTCTGCCTCTCTCCTAGCATTGCTTAATTTAGTGGGGGAAAATTTCAGGAGCCCAGCTAAACTTGAGTATTAAACAATTAATATTCTTTTTAAAACTTTAATTTTAAAATATAGGCACAAACACAACATATATATAGTATTTAGTATACACGTTAGCCCATGCAATATTTGGAACATATTTGTACTAAAAAATATTTGTCAAAGTTTACTGGGCATCTTGATTTTAATTGGCAATTTTACTCTCTCCCTACATTCCTTCTCTCCTCTGCAATCACCCCAGCATCCAACTTTTTCTTTTTAAGAAATGGAAAGAAAACTATTAGAAGAAAGAATTTCTTGCCCCTCTTCTAGGGCTTCAAAAAGTTATTTTCTAGAGTAACTTTTTCTCTCTAGGGATATAGATCATCCCAACCTGACTCAAAATTGATGACATGTAATGCAAGACAGCGTTCTAGTCCTCTTGTATGTCACAGTTACTTGCACTGTGTATTTCACTGTAATTTAGGGCAGATGTGAATACACATGGTATAGCTCCGTCCTGGAGCACAGAGTGATTAAAAGTCTTTCTCTCTTTTCATGGCTTTGCACTGCCACACATAATAATATAATTAATGCATATATGAATGCCTTTAAGTGTCTGCCTTCCTATCCCAGGGGGTACCATTTGTTTTATTCCATTTTGGGTGGTATAATTTTTCAGCTTGCTGTCTGTCTTGCTCTACGAACTTAGGTTGCTATTTTTTGTATCCAGCAGTCTTACTGCTGCACGATACAACTAATTCGTGCCAGATAATTTTCTTTTTTGCCTTTAATAAATTTATTTTGCTTGAGTGTAGATCTTTAAAAATTATCCCAGCTCTCTCCCAAATAATATGAATTAATTTTGTTTATTTTCCCTTCATAATCTCCTTATATCAGCATAATTAAGCAATTTGAAGGTTTTCATATAGGAAGGCTTACAAAATAAGTCAGCTGCTCTCCCCCTATGTGAATGCGTCTGGATAAAGCAACTCTCATTATCAGCTGCAGAAGCATTCTCAGCTGGTTTCCTAGGTGCTGCTGTTTTCCAGGAACAGACTGAGCATGACTTCTGAAGCCCCTTCCACATCCAGACTCAAGCATTCCTGTGACCTCTGACAAGAACTGTGCAACCTTTTAAATTTTTTCCCCCTGAAACATCTACAACAAAACAACCACTATTATTAAACTTATCTATTGAGAAGGGAAGAAAGAATGGAAGAATTAAAGAAAGGAAGGAAGTAGGGGCTGAGGTAGAAAAACAAAGTGGAGAGGTAAGAAGGGAGTGGGGAGGAAGAAAGGAAGAGAGGGAAGAAGGACAGAATGAGATAAAGAAAAATAAAAATAAGCACAACATCTCTAATCTAGGTTTTCTGAAACTTTTCTCTCTTCTTCATAACAGGATGAATTAATTGTGCTCAAAACAGCTTCAGGTTCATGCAATCTAAGCTTCTTATTTCAAAGATAAGAACAGTAAGTCCCAGATAAGCTATGTACCATGGTCATAAAGTGGGTTTTTAGGAATTAGGCCTAGTAATTAGTTTTGCAGATATTCACCAAATAATTTTTTCTTTTATACAATATATTTTCTGCATTTAGAAAAGAAAATTCCCAGTTCTACCTTCATGCATATCAAGGTTTACACTGGTTATTGGCCTTGATTTTTGAACATATGTTACACAACTCTCATGCCTAAGGTTATATTCATTCAATCTATATTTTATTCAGTTTAATATTCTCCTTCCTGCCTTTCTTTTTTTTCCTAAAACTTAAGCTAACTGTATTCTATAGTTTGCATGCTCCCCTCTAAGTCCCTTTTCCTACTTACAGACCTCTTGCCTTCCTAATATTTCTAATTAATCTTAGGAAGATATGTTGATCAATCTACATAACATTATATTCTATTTTCTCCCTATTTACTACTTTAATGTTAATGCTTGAAGAGTCTTTTTTTGTAAATTTCTTTCAATTTTTGCTTCAGTGGATTTATTTCTTGGTAGATCTAGATGGATACAGTGATCTGCCATTAAACCCTGAATATAATAATCCAATAAAAAGTATTCAAAGGAAGTGATGCATAAGCATTTTGGAGAATGACTGGATGCAACAAACAAATATAACCAAGCCTTTGTCATCATAAAATGATGGGGAAGGATGGAGTAGTACTTGAAATAAAGTATTTGGTTAAATATATACTACTGATAAATAGAACTGTTAAAGAAAATTTAAAGGGAGCACAACTGAGTTTCAATCTTATTATATAATTTCTATCCATTTCTCAGAGGACTTTTTAAAAAGTGAAATTAAGTAAACTACTAATGGAATATAGAGTGTTAGGCAATAAAATTAATTTACTACTTCGGGCCTATTATTTGAAGCTATTCTTCTCTGGGGTTCTCATGTTTATATTTTTAATTTAAAGTATTTCTAATAATCCTGCGGGAAATGAGCGATGTTTATATATAATTAAATTAAGCTCTAAATGTTTTATTAATTAGGTAACTGATTGTGAAGACAAAATAGTGTTATACAACACAGAAAGAGTGAGTTCAAATGGAAAATCTACTAGGCTGAGACTTCACAAGACTTGACAGCAATTCCCAACGGCTACATTTTCTTGCAGTAATTTCGTGTAACTTTAATTTAGTTGTACTGCAGTGAGGGGATCTTCAGTCTAAAACTGGGTTCCAGGAATGCTGCCCACTGGGTATCTCCCAGGGAAATTGATAAGCTTTTAATCTATATATCAATACTTACTTACATGTAAACATCACAAATTGTGTATGAAATACATTCAGCCCCCAACATCTGTACTAGTTGTATTAATAAAATATATATAAATCACTATTAAAAATAAAATTCGTTCCAATAACAATGCTATTCAATACATAGAAGTTGAAAGGGTTTAAAATTACTACATTTTAGAAAATTTGTTTTATTTGTTGTTGTTTTTGTTTTTTTGTTTTTTGAGATGAAGTTTCCCTCTTGTTGCCCAGGCTGGAGTGCAATGGCGCGATCGCGGCTCACTGCAACCCCTGCTTCCCAGGTTCAAGTGATTCTCCTGCCTCAGCCTCCCAAGTAGCTGGGATTACAGGTGTGTGCCACCAAGCCCAGCTAAAACATGATTAAGAAATAGAAACTGCTGAACATGATTAGGAAATAAAGAACATGTTTTGATAAATATAGTATCTGAACCTTAAAAGGTTAATACTTATAAAAATAATTATATTTATAAAGGAAAAATTTATAAACTGTAAATTCTCTAAAAAATGATAGAAAGAGTGTAAAAAAGTCAGTTTTAAATTTTTTTGAAAACTAAGCAGGCATCATTAAACACAGAAGCATGAAAAATTCATTGTTGAGAATTCTTTAATTTTTCCATCAGCTTTTATTCTTAAATTTTAAATTCTTTTTTAATATCAGAAGCCATTACATTAATATTGCTGAAAAAGGAGTAAATATAAATAAAATGTTACCTTACATGGCAAATAAATTCACATACTGAATTATATAGATTTTTTTAAAAGTAGTCAGAATTCATATGTTAAAGAAAAATAAGCAGGAAATTAAAATGGAGATGTGTAAGTATGATCAAAGAGCAAGGTTCTTTTTTCTCTTTTTTTTTAGTAGAGCCACACCACCACCTACTGGCCATTGCGAGCCAGTAGCGCCAGGCTTGACATTTAAAAAATATTCTTAGTATACTTTGAATTGTAGCTTCTGACCCTTGACACACAAAAAAAGCAAAAAAAAAATATATATATATAAAAATAGATAAAAAGCATTGTTTTATTCATTATCATTAGTGTATGAATCATTACCCTTAGATATACTTTCCTGATATACAAAATGTTTGCAATCAGCACAGTAAAATTGCTTATTAAATACACTCCCTTTTGGAAGACATTTGAGAAAAAACAGCTACTATAAAATAAGTGTGCATTTTTAAACTATACTACCTAATTTTTTACCTTATTGTAGGTCACATTCTTTTATTAACAGAGTACATTTCTAAACATGAAACTCCATAGAAATACATACAAAATCCTGCAAAATATATGTAAACTCGTCATTGTTTAGAAAGCATTTGATTTCAAATATATCTTTACATTTGATCTATTCATTATTCAATTGAATTTTTTTTGGTTTTTGATTTGGGTTGACTGAATAAACAACCTCCTAGGCATAAAGAAATACTATGTGTAAATAACATTGTTCTTTCATAAAACATTCTGATTGTAGTGAAGTTGGATTCATGCCCAGAATCCTCAACATTTTAAAAGCATTTAAATAGAATCCTATTCTAATGTGTCCATAAACTGTGAGCCCTTTTAAATCCTCTTTTGGAATGATTAAAACTAGTGGCCAATAAAAGGCAAATCTGAATTATTACCTAATGAATGGTGGAAATAAATAGTTGGCTAATCCACTTTTTTCCCAAATGGGAGTGATATTATCTTCGGAGATTTTAGCATATTTACTTAAAACGATTAGTAAAATATTCTCATATAAAATAAGATGGATAAAATATTATTGACCTTTATTTCTTTACCCAGAATAGAAGTCATGCCAATTCAATTATTTCTCAATTTAAACACAGAGTGGATTCCACCAGATATGATATTCTCAAAGCAAAGTAATACCATTTAATGTCTCTGACTTTGCCTGGCACACTCAGAGGTCTAACCCTCCTTTAGAATAACCGGATGGTCCCTAAACCAAATAAAGTTAGAGAAGGGTTGTTTCTCCAAAAATACGAGAGCAACTATAGAGAATAACATTTAACTGTGTAAAAAAAAAAAGTAGTGATAATGTGTATTTTCTTATATGATAAAGCTGAGAATTCTGTTGAAGGAGTTTTGTAAATTTCAAAAGCTCAGTGACAACAATGTCCTTCGAGATGCGGAACAATTAGAAAAACATGGTGTGTAGCATCTTATGTAAGATTTTCTCAGGAAACTTGTTGACTAGGATATGTGGGGTTGCTTATTAAATGTCCTTCTCTCCTCTCTTAGTCTCACCAGTTTCCCCATGGCTACTTACGGACATTGCCAGATCCTGTTGGACCTGTAGATTAGGAAATCTTTAACATACAGTGTCACTGCAAAATTCTGGCTGGAATCAACTCTGACTCCACATTTTTAACTGGTGGATATTATATCTTAGCTTTTAAAGACAGTTGTTATGCCATTACTAGCTTTTGATTTGGGACATAGGTTCACATTATCCAAGCAAAGTAAAGGCAAGCTACAAAACAAATATTCAAGACACACTGCCATAAAATATTATTTTTAATATGACACATTATACCTTAGAAAAATGTGAACAGTATGCCATATTTTAAACACAATTTTGTGTACATGTTTGTTATTAAAAATGTTTCCTTGATATGATTACATTTGTTCAATAGTTCATTTTTAATAGGGTGAAGCTATACCTGCAGCAAAGCTGTTCATGCTTTGATCTCCATCAATCTGCTGAAAACATGACAGAGTCAATACACTTGTAATTTATTTGAAGGCCTTTCCCTACCTTTAGTTTCCTTACAGCATCTCTCACAACTTCTGTTCCTTTTGGCTGTTCCACTTCTGTACTGCCAAGAAACTGAAAATGGTCATTTGTGAGACACAGGCTTTTACCATATCATATATCATTGCATCATGTTGAAATATAAGATTGCATAATAGAATGGTTTAATAGTAATGCAAACTCATATGTTAATTAAATAGAATTATTATTTTATATTATTTTTATATTATATGAAAATGTAACTAAACTTTATCATTTATACTTCCTGTTAATCAAAGATTATTTTTAAAAACATACTTGTTTTCTAAATATTTTACTTGTAGATTTTTACTGGAAAGAAAACTAAAGTTATTTTATTAGGCCCAAGGGAATAATGTTGATCTCAACAGTTAAAATTTAGTAAACTTATTAGTAATTAAAAATTATTTTTCATTCAAAGCATGTAATTGTATTTTGTTACTATATTTAACATCAATAGTAAATTTCAAAGTTTACAATTTCTTTTTTTTCTCACGTCTCTCCCCACTTGCCTCTGCCTGCTGATGCCAAAGATTTCGCCATTAGCTTTTTTTTTCAAGTAAACATTTTTCTTTGTTTTCCACTTATGAGACTCATCTAACATGTAGAATTTAAAATACAAGCTTCTTTTAATAGCCAAGATATACAACTAAGTAAAGCTATAGTTAAAGAAATAAAACATACATGATCTACAATTGTACTGTTTTTTGGTTTTGTTTTAGTTTGGTTTTGTTTTTGAGACGGAGTCTCACTCTTTCGCCCAGGCCAGAGTGCAGTGGCGCTATCTCGGCTCACTGCAAGCTCTGCCTCCCGGGTTCACGCCATTCTCCTGCCTCAGCCTCCCGAGTAGCTGGGACTACAGGCACCCGCCACTGTGCCTGGCTCATTTTTTGTATTTTTAGTAGAGATGGGGTTTCACCGTGTTAGCCAGGATGGTCTCGATCTCCTGACCTCGTGATCCGCCTGCTTCCACCTCCCAAAGTACTGGGATTACAGGCATGAGCCACCACACCCGGCCAATTTTACTGTTTTAAATAAACCTGAAGGTAGTCAGTAAGTGATATGGTTTGACTGTGTCCTCACCCAAATCTCATCTTGAATTGTAGCTCCTGTAATTCCCATGTGTTATGGGAGGAAACTGGTGGGAGGTAATTGAGTCACAAGAGTGGGTCTTTCCCATGCCGGTCTCATGATAGTAAGTCTCATGAGATCTGATGGTTTTATGAAGGGGTATTCCCTTACACAAGCTCTCTTGCCTGCTGCCATGTAAGACATGACTTTGCTCTTCCTTCATCTTCTGCCATGATTTTAAGTTTGCTGAGGTCTCCCCAGCCCCGTGGAACTGTGAGTCAATTAAACCTCTTTCCTTTATAAATTACCCAGTCTTGGGTATGTCTTTATTAGCAGTATGAGAACAGACTAATACAGTAAGTGTGTTTAAGTAAAACCTGACCAATCCAAAAAGTGAAAAAAGTTTCATAATAATTATCACACTGCAATAAAATCTCTACCTTGGAAAGATATAATACCTCCTAAACAGAAGTCTAGTATCACTAAATGTTCAATACCAATTAGAATTGAAATATACAGGTTTTATTCTAGAAAAAATTCTATATATAGGGCAAACAAACATTAAATTCATGAAATATATGTAATTTTCCAAAGATTTTTTTTTGCTCTTGTGACATACCACCAATTATAAGACCAAAGAGATTCACGAATTAATCACTTCTCCTATGTATAGACATAGGAGAATACGTGTTTGTAAACTACATCAAAAATTCCATAAGTGGAATCTTTTTCATGTATTAACTTACAGAATAGAAGGGAAAATACAGTAAAGTCATGCTATCTCTTATTCCTTCCTTCATTCTTGAAAAAAATAATCACTAAGGAAATTAGAGTTTTGATTTTCAAAATGGGTTCGCTGCACAACTGGCATGAAAATTACCTAGAGCGTTGGTTAAAATGTAAAAATACATGTTCCTTGGTCAAATAAATCAGAATCTTTAGAGGTAGGGCAAGCGAATTATATTTCTGGAAGCATTGCAAGTGACTCCTTGTACCAAAGTCTAAAGAACAGAGTTAGAAACAGTTAACAGGCCATGAGGATAGTGGAAGGTAGGTACAAAGATGAGTTGAAAATACAGGCAACAACTGGTGTTCCCTTTCTGATGAACAAATGGAGGCTAGAGAGTAAAGCTCAGTTGCACTGAGGCAAAGAGAAGTTTCACTTTTCAGATTCTGTAAGGGACAACAGTTACTTTTTTTTTTTTTTTTTTTTTAGATGGAGTCTCGCTGTGTTTCCAGGCTGGAGTGCAGTGGTGCAACCTCGGCTCACTGCAACTTTCAACCCCTTGGTTCAAGCGATTCTTCTGCCTCAGCCTCAGCTGGGATTACAGGAACGCGCCACCACGCCCATGTAATTTTTGTATTTTTAGTAAAGACAGAGTTTCACCATGTTGGCCACGGTGGTCTTGATCTCCTGACCTCGTGATCCACCCACCTCAGCCCCGCAAAGTGCTGGGATTACAGGTGTGGGCCACCACGCCCGGCCAATAGTTCCTTTTTTAATATGCTTGAAATATACCAAATTGTTAAGAGGCCCTAGATAAGATATGAACAGGCTTTCAGTTTGCCTCACTGTGACCTCCAGTTGTTGGTTGACCAGGCATACATAAAAGACCAAAGTGAATGAGAAATTTTAAGCAGAAAAAGAAATGAAATCCTGCTATCAAGATTGGAAGACAGCCAAATCTATTCCTGACACCAATGGAGCTGTCACATTTCTCCAGTTTGGGATGAGTGTTTTCAAACTTGATTGAATGACAGAATCATAGGGGCGTTTTAGCCAGGTGCAGTGGTTACGATATGGTGCTTTAATATGCAACCTGTAGTTTCAGCTACTCAGGAGTTTGAGGCAAGAGATCTGCCTGAGCTCAGGAGTTTGAGGGCAGCCTGAGCAACACAGTGAGGCCCTGTCTCAATTTAAAAAAAAAGAGAAAGAATCATATTGGAAGCTATAATCTTATTACTATTGCCTGCAAGTCTGATTTGACTAGCCTGGGTCAGAGTCAGGCCATCTATATATTTTAAAGCTCCCTAAGCGATATTAATGTGCCACCAGGTTTGAAAAGCACTGTTTCAGATCATCCAGAAAGGAAGAAGAGTTCAAGTAACTGAAGAGGATTTAACATAATAGAAACTATTTAGTTCTGAATACATCCCTGGGGTAAACAGTTCTCAACTTCTCTGAATTTATCATATCACTGCGATTAGTGGATGGTCTAGGATTAGCAGGAGCAGAGAAGCAAAGATGGATCCTTTATGGGGAAGTAATTATTGAACTAGAAGAAGGAAGGGTCTGGTCTATCAGTAATAGACTATAAGTTTTACTGGCAGTATTTCTGGAGGAATATTCAAACTTCAGCAGGAATGTCATGAGTCAAAAGTATTATATGCAAATAAGGCCATAGGGGAAAAATATGGAAGAACTCCAAGTATATTTGAAATGAATCAACCTCTAGCTGTGCTCCAGGAAACCTTTTAACATGTTTATTTCACATTAGCTTTAATTAAATCCTTTGTGTAATGCAACACTGGGAGAAGCCTTGAGTGATGGTGGGTATTAAATTAAAATATATCTTAATATGGAGCACTCTACTTAACCCAACTTTTTCTTATGTAATGTTAGAAAACCTATAGGACAATCATGCTAAAACTAAAAAAAGTTTATGCCTTATACTTCCTGTATTTTTTTAATTACAAAAAATCATGATATATAGATTAAATAATTCATATTTATGTGCATTTCTTACACCTATCTAAAATACTTATAAAACTCTTAGATATGAGGTAGCATGTTAGAACAAGCTCGAGATTTAGAATCTGAGAATGTTAGGAAAGTCCCCTAATTTCTGCCTTGT
Organism: Homo sapiens; assembly: GCF_000001405.40. NCBI lineage: Eukaryota > Metazoa > Chordata > Mammalia > Primates > Hominidae > Homo > Homo sapiens. The sequence goes on along the minus strand of NC_000002.12, from coordinate 188,518,886 downwards.
CTGACTCTTTTGAAAGATAGAGATAATAAATGCTGTTCTTCTCTCCTGAAAAATCATTCTAAAGAGAAATTGCAGTAAGAGATGAAAAAAAGAAAACCTCTTTAAACTACAAGTTGTTTATGAGGGATTGCCATTCCCTTATCAAATGATTGTTAGGGGAAGATACTAGGGTTTAGTGGACACAACTGGTGCCTGCTCAGTTCTCCTGGGATCCACTTTATCAACTCAGAGACCCATCTTCCAGTTTCCACATGCTTTGCTGGTAATGACTCACACTCAAGACCTCCAGAGTATTCCTTTTGGGCAATGAAGTCAAAGTCACCTTGCCAGTATTGAGAGCTAGAAGCATATGGGAGTTTCTTTTCATCCCTCCCATACCCACACCACCCCATCATCACATTCCTTAGCCAACGACTGACTTGGCTAAGGAAAGTCAGCCAAGTCAAGTTTTGTAACTCCACAAGTTTTGTGGAGGTACAAAAGCCCAGCTTATTTGTTTGGAGGTGAGGTAAACGCTAAGGTATAATGTTATGATGCAGAGCTTACCATGGAATTAGGCTAATGCTGTGGCTCCAGCTGATGTCTACTCTTCCTTCATTTTTTCTTCTTGTCGGCTCTGCTTTTTCTACTCATTTACTGATTTCTTCTGGGAGCACCCCCTTAATAAATCATATGCACTTAAATCTTTTGCCTTGGGATTTATTTCTGGGAGAAACTGGCCTAAGACACTGGTTAAAGGCTTAAATGCTTACATTCCAGGGACATACAGTCTAGTATATAAACCCATAAATAACTGTCCTAAGTGCCATCAAAAGGCTTGTACAAAGTATACAAACTTTGATTTTTATCTTTTCCACTCTGCCTGGTTCCTGGAGGGTGAAACAAAAAAAAGGAATCATGCCGTGACCAGGGAATTAATTCACCCTATCCCAACAGAAGAGTTGTTAACTATCTGAAGAATTAGGCCGGGGACCTCTGGGCTGCAAAATGCTAGTAAGCATGGCTGGGAGCAGAAGTGAGGCACCTAACTGACAAAGATACTAAGCAGAAGTCCACATGCAGGATTGAAAGTTCCCCTAGACTCTTTTCTCAGCCTGGCTCCCAGGATACTAGCTGCTAATCTTATAAGCCTCCAAGCAGAAGAATTTTTCCCTGAGGAAAACAGACCGAGGAAAACAAGACAACCTATGCTGACAGTTAACGTTTCCATGTGAAATAGATGGGTCACCTGATCAGTCAGCAGATGACAAGCCCTGCTCAAGTCCACAGAACCGCCAGTTGGCTTTTGAGTGAGTCGATCTTAAATATCAAAACACAGCAAGTATGTGAATATATTCGAGAAAAGCCTCTCACATGAAAAGACTGGGGGAAAAAAAACAGCAACAAAAGGAATGGTTAGAAAAGTAGAGGGAGCGCAATAAAAAAAATGATGGCTAATACTCTACAGTCAATATAGATATATTGCATTCATAATAAAACCAGGATGCTAGAAAAAGTAGCACATAAAGAACAAAAGAGAATTGACAGAAATTTAAAAATATGACTCAGGTAATTAAAAAATGATAATATTAAAAAATAAAGTTAGAAAAAATTATAAGAAGTAATTATTAAATGCTTACAATTTTTCAGGTTGTATTTTAGGAGTTAAGAATACAGCAGAGAGGTAATACATTTGTTAATTAGCTAGATTTAACCATTCCACAATGCATATATACTTCAAAACATACAGAATAAAAACATACAATATTATCTGTTAATTAAAAAAAAATAATGTTTTATTAAATGCACTGAAAAAACAAATTTCCCTGCCCTTATGGAACTTACATCCTAGTGGGTGAGCCAAACAATATTAATAAGAATAAGTGAATTATATGCTACTTAGAACTGGTGGAAGTCAGAGTATGTGACTGTGTCTGCTTTCTGTGTCATACCATTTTAAATAGGATGTTCAGAGGAGATGTCACAGATAAGGTGAAATGTAAAACAATCAGAAAGGTAGATATTTGGGGAAATGCAGGCCAAGGAAAGGAAACAGAGAGTGCAAAAGCCAGATATTTAAAATAAGATACGAACTAGAACAATTGAAGAATTGGTCTAGAATAGTGTTTTTCGAAATTTGGTCCAAGGACTTGTAGCATCAACTACCATAACTAGGAAATTGTCATAAATACAAATTCTACTCAATCAGAAACTGGGAGTGAGGCCCAGCAATCAGATTTAATATCTTCTACAGGTGATTCTGATGCATGCCTAAAGGTGAGAACCTGTTTTAGGAGAGCCAACATTAAACCAAATAGAGTCCTAGAAATAGAGAAGAGGAAAAACTAAAGGATAGAACACTATCAATCACTTTCCCAGAACCAAAGGTATAAATTTTCAGATTAAGGGACTCAATGTTATATTAATGAGTGAAAACAAATATACAAGCACAAAGAGGCTTACCATCAAAGCACTAGAGATTGAAAAAAAATCACAAAAGATTCCAGAGAGAAACAAACAACAAAAAATAAAACAAAAACAAAACCCAGAAATATGAATGACATCAGACTTCTTCACATCAGCAATAATGGAAGAAAGTAACTTCAAATTCTGAGGGAAATGATAATTTTGAACCAAGTTTCCAGGCTATGAGGAAAGAAAAATTCATACTGAGATGTGCAGAGGCTCAAAAAATTGCCTGCCATGTCCCAGTTCTCAGTAAGAAAAGAAGGAACTAAAATAAAACAGAGGGAGTAATGAGCCCAGGAAACAGGGCAGATATGTCAGGAGGGTGTTGATGGCCACTACAGATATGACGAATAAAAGCACAGCAGTACAACACTTTATCCAGAATAGAATAAAATAACAAAAGACAGGAAAGCAAAATGCAGTTGCTTCAGTGAGTGAGGCTTAGGAGAAGGGCTAGAGAAGGTTTTGTTTTTTAATTTTTTCATTATAAATTTTGGAGAAATATTTGACTATTTTAAATGGACATAGATTATTTGATAAAATAAAAATGAAATTAAGCCCCCAGAAGATAACCTGTTAATTTAACATATGCTCATTTATTCCTTAAAATATTTTTGAGTATTTACTATCAGTCTAGCATTTACTAAGTGCTGGGTAGCGATCAGGTAAAAATGTCCCTGTATTCATGGATTTTATCCTCATGAGTGTGTGTGTGTGTGTGTGTGTGTGTGTCTGTGTGTGTAAGTGTGTATGTGTATCTATGTCTATTTTATGTCTAGATCACAGACACACATATTATATTTTGATCACACAGATGGACTGGGCAGAGTGTGGGTAATATTTAAGAAAGAGTCATCAGTTCTCTCTAAAAAGGTGGCATATTAATAAGATGTAAGGAAGAAATGAAACATACACTCAAGCATATTAAGGTTAACATGACTCTGACGTGCTCACTAGAGATACCAGACTCAACAATTGGGTATACAGTGCTGGAGTCTGAGGAAGAAGAATTCTGAAGAGAACATGTGGATTCGGGAGATCCTGGCACAAAGGTCTCAATGAAAGGCTGAGAGATTGAAAAGAGCGCCAGCATCCTGGGTCCTCAGGTAGCTGCCATATTTCAGAGGGAGATGGAAGAGAATAATGCTGCAAAGGGGAATAAGATGAGTGTTCAAGGAAATGGCAGGGGGAATCATGCAAGTGAGACATTAATACTCCTGAATGCGGTTGCCAGATATAGCAAATAAAATTACAAGATGTCACTGCTGGTAGGAATGTAAAATGGTACAGCCAATCTGAAAAAAAAAATGGTTTGGCAGTTTCATTTCAAACTAAATGTGGACTTACCATAAGATGCAGCAACTGCACTCTTGAGTATTTACCTCAGAGAAATGAATACTAATGTTCAAGTAAATGTCCTGCACGGATGTTCATTGTAGCTCTCTTTGTAATAGCTCAAAATCAGAAACAATCTAATTGTCCTGCAATGAGTGGATTCTTAAACAATGGTACATCTATACCATGGAATACTACTAAGGTATAAAAATGAATGAATTATTGATAAACAAGACAAGTTAGATGGATCGAAAGGGAATTTTGACAAATATTAAAAGCTAATCCCAAAAGGTTTATTTTTTATTGCTATTTACCTGAAAGAGGCATACAGGAATATTTCATTGACAGTCTCTTAAAAATGGGACACTGGTATATTCAACATTATTTAAAATTGTGTAAAAATACTCATTTTTATGTTTTGCAACTTTATGTCTTAATTCCTCCATGTGAGAAAACAAAAAAAATTAGCAATGATGAAAAAAGGAGTATAATGTTTCAGACTATTTTGCTTCATACAATTAGATTCAGTGTTATTTTTCACTTTGGCAAAGAGCAAAAGAAAAAAGTTATGTGTTGTCTGGCAAGTGATATTTGTTCCTGCATTTTTTTCTTACTTAAAGTGTTCAGGGTTTTATTTATTTATTTATTTTTTCTGTACAATAAGTCCTCACTTAACAGCATCAATAGGTTCTTTGAAACTGCAACTTTAAGCTGAAGGACATATAACACAACCAATTTTACCATAGGCTAACCGATATAAACAACAGTTAAGTTCCTACACCATATTTCTGGTCACAAAAATATCAGCAAACTTCTAAATAAAGACCGAAATACTTCCAATGTTAAACACCAAAATAAATGTGAGCTATACATACATTTAAGAAAGATCAATAGAAACAAGTAAGATAATTGTTTACTCAATTGTTTTAGCTCAGGGTCCCAGGTGGCAGGAGCCTTGCCCGATAGCTCGGGGCAAAGCTGGAAACAGCCCTAGACAGGACGCCACCCAGTGGCAGGGCGCACACACACACACACACACACACACACACACACACACACACACTCAGAAGGGGACCATTTAGACAGATCAGTTACCAAACCTGCGCATTTTGGAATATGGGAGGAAACAGGAGTACTCAGAGAAAACCCACGCAGATATGGGGAGAACCTGAAAACCCCACACAGACAGTAGCCCTGTCTGGGAACTGATATTTTTTTTCTCATCAACCTTATAACCAATAACATGGAATAAAACAACATTGAATCAAAGAGTGTTATTCAAGGCCCTGCTGTAAATCCAAATAGACAAAATTTATTACGGTGAATTTTTTTTTAAGAAATATCAGGCCATAGAGTTTACATGAGTACAAGTGTGTGTCTTGCACAATTGTGTGCTTGTGCCTGGAAAATGCAACAAGGTTTTTCTGTTTATTTATGAATAAATACGTTAATTTTAATATTAATATATGTTCACTAAGAAAAATGAGAACACTCCAGAAAATGTATCAATGAAAATAAGCATCAACTTTTACCTCACAGCCAAGAAGTGGCTTTCTTAAAAATATTGCACATTATCTTTTCAATTTACATTAAAATAAAAGTGATCGGCCAATGACAATATTAAGCAAACCTAACAAAACCTCATCAATTACTATATAATTTGGCATTATTGTGTAAATATGCAGGTATAAGTGATTGTATCTACATATATTGAACTTTGAGATTAAAACATTGAATATGACTCCCAAGCAAAATGGACAGATAAGAATGATATAAAACACAGATGGGAAATTTAGAATATTAGATTATAAAAGGTAAGATGTAGTCATTGATCTAAAAATGTTTTGTGTATTATTAGTCTATATAATGAAAGTTATAACAGCATGGCATATAGTTCGTCAGATTTTACAAACTAGTAAATGTCTTTTTTAAATCTTCTATAAAGACTCTGATAAATACAGAACAAGTTTCTGATACTATAGATATAATTTTATATTCAACATAAATACTCCACCCCATGTATCTCTCCACTCAATGTATTTGAATACTTATTGTTTAGGCAGATGTACAAAAGACAGCATTTTACAGGCTGCAGTCTGCTGAAATTAAATCTATAGAAATGTTATCAAACTTGCTATTGTAAACAAAATATTTACCTTGGTGACTCTTAAAATGCTAGTAAGATATGTCGTATTTGGTTAATATTTTCCAAAATTCCTATAATTATTTTTCAAATAGTTAAAATGAAAACAAAGACTTCTCTTTTAAGCTAATTTCCACAAGTGATGTCTATATTCATTTCTTCCATTCTTTCACTGTATTCTATTTAACAAAATGTGTGGAAGTTTGAGGATTCTACCCTCGTTATCAAATATTATTCAAAATGGAAGATTTTTTCACTTGAAAGGCTGAATAGTTGTTTTATAACTTGCTTCTTTGCCAGTAGAGAGCAGTGTTGGACATCATATGGACTCATTTAGAATATCTGCTTTCCTTCCTCAAATGTTTCAGAATCACTATGAATAATGTAGGACTGTTTTTAAATATCAGAAAAATAACAATTAAATAGCTAAAGAGTTACGAAGTCTAACTGCTATGAAATTTGACAGTATTTAACATACAAAGGACATCATTTATAACAAAAATGTCTGGAATACACATTTTATGTATAGTAAATTCAAAATATGCCAATTTTATGTAGATAATATGTTCTCTACAGAATTACTGTAAAATATTAAGGGAGAATAATTCCTACTTTTTATAATATAAAAGTTTTATATTGCTTCAAGATTAATAAATATTGGTGGCATAACAATGAATATTCTCATTATTTTTTAAAAATGCGTATATATCTTTGTAACCAATGTTGCAGAGCCTCAAATATGATGGGACTAATTTTCTTTGAGGCAATTTGACTCCATATGTGCAAAAAAAAGGAAAAGTATTTAAGCCTGTTAGCTACTCAACTGTACCTAGTAGATAAGCTATATAGGAGTAAGCTAATTTAATTTTATAGCCTTTATTTGGCTGACTTCCTATGGTCCCATTGCCAAGCAATACAGAAAAAGCCATTTTTAAAAAGCACATCATAATAGTCATTTGCTAAAGCAGGGTCAGAATCAACTGGATTTAAACTTATTAATCAAAACTATAATCCTGAAAAAAACTAAAATAGATACACCAACAAAAGGTTATACTTTAAATTTTAAATTAAATACTCTAAAAAGGTTATCCCTTTAAAGGACAAGGAAGTTTTGATAGAAAATTTTTAAAATATGGACTGAGTATTAAAAAGTCCACATTTTATATTTAATATTTGTTCCTCATTTTATTATAACAATTATTTATTACATTGTATTTGTTCATGTTTTACATGGATATAGGGTATATTATTTTTATAGTCTCTTGTTTTAAAATACAATTTCCATGTTTAAGTCCAAACAAGTCTACTTGCTATAAACAAGAAACTGTGTTCATTGCTCAGGAGGCTCTCCCACCGAGTTTGTACCACATGGTCACACTAAGAAGCAGCGAGTTTTTGTCCTGCCTGTGGAGTCCCTCCCACACTCAAACATCCTTCACATCTGAAGAGTGAGACAGGTGGAGTAAATAGGGCATTTATCTGTATTGCTATCAACAGAAGTGTTATAAAAATAAATAAGCATCAACTTGAATAGAAAACCAAAAGCATGGGGTTTGGAGCCAGGCAAGCTTCACAATTCATTTCTCACTAGAGAATCACATGATTATAAAACACATGGGCTGTGGAAATATTCTCATGTAACTTGCATTATTTTACAGATGTGAAAACTGAGGATAGTATTACTTATCTATGCCACATCCATTTAGCTAGTTCAGATTTATGTTATATAATGTTTCTATTGTGAGAGCGGTTTAAAAACAAAGGCAGTCAAAAGAATATTCCATGTACATTACAGTCAGATAAAATGAGTTTCCGAATACTGATTCCACTGTTTCACTCTGCCTTTCATAGCCTCGCTTTCCTCATTCATAAAATAGGGAAAATCTCAGTGTTCTTGTGAGAATTAAATGAGAAAATACAACCAGCGACTAGCACAGAATGAACATTCAATGAATTTATGCTTAGAAATAAAAATGAAATAATAACAGCCACATCAAGCAAATAAAAAGAACCAACCCACCCACAATGAACTGCAAAGTAAGCAAGAATAAAAACCCTATTTTAAGCCACTAGGATTTGGGTTTTGGTTCTTGAAGCAGCTACAATCCTTACCAACACATACGCAAGTTTTTGTTGTTGTTTTTTTTTTTCCTCAAACTGGTATTGGTTACTTTCAAACATTTATTCTTCTGAACTCCCACTGTAATTTAATTTATTTGCAATTCTCATTGCAATTTAATCAGATTTTTATATAACATGAGACAAGTGGGATTTTTAGGATATCTACACATATAATATATCTCTTTGTGAGGGTCTTTTAAGTAAGTGTTTATTCTGTTTCTTAGTGAGGCTGAGTATATTTCATGCTAAATATATTCTTAGTTGCTTTATAAGTTTTGGTAAGTTAGATTATTTTTCAATTCTACTTATAACAATATATTGCTATATAAGGAATGTTTACCCAGTATGTGGTCAGCTTACCAAATTCTCTTAAATCTAGTAGTATTATTTTTTAAATTTAAGTGCGCTGGAATCTAATTATCAATAAAAGGAAATATATCTTTTTCCTCGCCAATATGGTTACTAATTATTTAATTTTCCTTGATCACAAAATTAGTTAAAAAGCAATGTTGTGCAACGGTAATAATAAGCATCTATATTTCATTCTTAATTTTCATGGAACTTACTTAAGCTTTTGACTATACAACATACTGATCATTGTTCTACTTCATGTTTAAACTTACACAAAATAATCTTCCCAAATGTACTTATGTGCCTGAACACTAAATATATTTATTTGCAGAAACCCCTGATATTTCAAGTGCCCTCTGAGCTCTCTTGAGATAAATTTATCTCTTATTTTCCCTTTTGGAGAGAAGATTCTTTAAATGCTCTAGCACCCCTCATCTTTCAGGGCTTACCATTCACAGGATTTCTCTGAGACACTGGATTATCGTTATGATTTCTATGTCCTAATCCATCTCAAAAATATTTATTGTGCATACTCTATGTATCAGGTCCTGTTTCAGATATGAGGATACATCAGTGAACAAAATAGACCCAAACCTCTGACCTGCTGCCACAGGCTACACACACATCTTCAATGACCAGAGTGCCTTATTTTTCTTACAGGTTCTTTCACTCCATTCTACCCAAAGCCTCATTATTTGAGAACAAACCAAATCAACTGCAACAAAAAGTTTTCAAATATACAATTATTGCCACAGCGTAGTTTTCTAGCTGTAAGTGATTATTGTTTGCTTTGAACTCTTAAGCCATTTTTAAGAAAACCTCCTCCCATGCTACAAGCAGAACTTATTTTTCATATTTGAATATCATAGAAAATGAGTGATCATATTAAGGGAGTCTGTTACTCAAACTCCTGTCCTCATTTTTTGTAGAAAAGGAGAAAAATCTACTCTTCAGGTCTTGATAGGTGGTGCATAGTTCTTTTGAGTGAAAAATGAGTGTGGGCTAATGATACTCCTGAAATGCAGATTTATTGATTTCTTTTAACAAACTTTCTGTCAATGATTAATACGGTCTATTTCTGCAAAGCATTGCTGTATGCAGAACTGTCATTAGTGTGCTATGAAGGTCAAAGCAAAGAAGGCTGGATCCTGTTTTACCTTCCAGGTTTAAAGATTCAACACAAGGAACCGTAAAGAAAATAAACATACAACAATAACAAAAAACACTCTGAGCTGGAACATATTGAGACAAGCTTAATGTCGGTGGCCTCCTACAGAGCCACTAGGGAGAGCAGGCTCTGCACCAGAGTAGAGCTTCTTTTATTCCACAGCTGTTTACTGAAGACCTACTGTGTACCAGGCACTGTTCCAGATACTTGAAAAGAAAGTGATGAACAGAAAAGTTAAAGATCCCTGTGGACGTGGCTTGGTGGAACTATGCAAATAAGTTTCAGAGTGACAGTCACGTGGACTTAAGCTTTGAATTCTGGCTCTGCTGCTTGCTAGGTCTATGAATTTTAATGCCACTGAACTGCAGCTTATTAGTTTATAAAATGTAGATAGATGTCCCCTGTACTTACAAGTGGGCTGTGGGAAAAAAAATTGTGTGGGTAAAGTGCCTATTGACACATAGCAGGCACTCAATAAATATTTGCTTCCAAAAGCAAATGGTGTCGAATGATGTGTCCAGGTGTGTATTATTTGGTTCCAGATCCCAAAGTAATGCTAGAATAATGGGTTTGTGGCTTTTATTCTTTTCCACAAGGGCCATTTTTTTTCTTATTATTTTATAGAGTCAATATAATTCTGTTAGTAGGCTGAAAGGAATCTGCTGGGAAGCTGGTGACTTTGGCTCACTAAATGACAGACGGGAAGACAGGAACATCAAGCATCCAAATATGGTGGGGTCCTGACAATTGTGGAGTACGGGAAAGGAGTGTAGTACTCTTTGTATAATCAACTGGGTCCATCTCACTTTAATCAGTCTGCAATCAGATACAGCTATGAGGTGATCACCTGTTTTATCTTAGCAGCTAATAAACAGCCTAATTCTCTCTTCCCCTTTTGTAAAAGTGAGGAAGTATTCTGCTTCCACTATTGCAAATCATGCTTTTGTTACAATTAGGCCAATCTTATTATAGACTTCTAAATTCAGTTTGGTAATTTTGTTTACTTTTTAAATCCCTGTTTTTTAAAGATAATTTGACTTAGTTTTCTCAACACTTGAAGTCAATTATCACTAAATAGTGCTATTTAGTAAAGTTATGTAATGCTTCACTGTAATGTTTAATGGGTTTTGTTCGAACCCTACTGTATGCTGATTCTATTTGATTTTCCTTGGCCTTTTAAAAAAATCAGTGGTAGCACATTCCTGGGCAACTTCTACGAGTATTTTTCAGCTGCCCTTTTAAATTTCTAATCCTGGTATTATCATAGACCTTTATGATTTTATTGGAACTGTTATAAAAATTTAATAGCCTGATTAGTAACTATAATCCCAAATTATATAAAAAACTTCCCTTTATATATACAGAACTATATTGCAGCATATCACTTTCTCAAAAAGAACTATACCTATTTTTCATGATATATTTGATTAATATATCAAATATTTAAGCTTGGTATTTTCAGACTACAGAACTGGTATTTGAAATGAGCCTTGACTCTGTGCACTTCCATTTATTAATTGAAATATGAACTGTGCATCTAATTGTTACATAGGAATGGTAATTAATGAACTATGTAGTTTCATTTATTAATATGTCTGAAGATTAGAGTAAACCACTTAACGTAATTTCAGTTGAAGCATTTTGTGACATGCCACTTCAGTTCCTTGATAATAATGCAAAATATAAAATACAAATACTGACTCAATTCTGAGATTAATTTGATTGTTTTCATTCAAAGTGATGCATGCTATTAAAATACACAAATAAGTGAAGTATGGGCAAGAACATAGCATTATAATAGCGTTAGAGTCATGATACTTATTCCATCTCATTTCAGGGCTAACCTAGTACAAATTTCAAAATTATGTTTGTCCATAGAAATTATGGATACTGCTTGCCACAAGCAAAAAAAAAAAAAAAAAAAGAAAACAAATGGTATTCTCTTTGCTCCAGAAACACACTCGTTTAGTGAATATTCAGGTGGAAACATCTGCACAAACCCAGGAAGCATCACTCCATAAAGCCCAATAAATTCTAGAATGGGATTTTCCTAGAGACTCTCAGAGTTACTGCCACTTAATCATGATTAACTCTTTATTTGAAGATAGATAGCATTTTATAAAGCAGGTAGTTTGGGGAAAGGCCTTTTTAAAGTCCTTGATGACATCCCATTGGAGCTGGAGGGGCCTCAGTTACTAGAACCCCATCTGTCAATCTACGCCTATAGAAATCCTGCCAGGAGCCTTCAGGAAAGAATGCAAAGTGGGTGGATGGTCTGGCAAAAGCCTAGGGCAAATGCAGGGAGAGAAAAAGTAACTTTCTCTTCTCTCAACAGTCTTAGCCACTCCACAGAAAGTGCTTTTGGCTTGCTGCTGTAAACACACTTTCTGGGAGAAGTTCAGGTTGTGGTTGGTTCTTCCCCACATTGACTGAATGTTCAATTTGTTATCAGGATAGCAAATTTGCCAATTTATCATATAAGCCATGAGTAAAACACAAATTCCCATGTAAACACTGACATTAAGGCGCTTACTTTTGTAAATTGTTATTGTCCTCAAGGACTGACTACTTACTGAATAACAAGGTCAAACTTTACTCTACATAGTGATGTAGAATTTAAGGGGAATCTGTGGAATTATGGAGATTAAGATTTGAATCTTGGCTCTGCTGTTTCTAATTGTTTTGTTATATCTACTTTGTATCCCAAGCTTGTTGCTCTTTAAAATAACAGTAGTGATATTTCTGAGGATTTCTTGAGTTAATGAGACAATGGAGTTTAGCACAGTGCTAAGGATTTAATAAGTTAGTATTTAATAGACTTGTCTCATTTATTCAAGTGGGAGAACTAAAAGTATTTTATAGATAAAAGCCAAAGAGTATCTCTAAAATTAAATTGCTCCATACTACATAATCCAGGTAGATTATAGAAAACAACTATAATCAATTAGTTTCTGGCTTTTATGTACTGATTTGAAATTATATAAATGCAAACGAGTAGGAAAATATATTTATCATTGCTAGTTCTCCCAATAATTTTAATGTCCCATTATAACTCCAGGAATTTAATTAGTGAAAATCTTAAATTTAATAGGGATCATAAAATGAATACTTACATTAGCAAGTATGCTTATGACACTGTAGTTAAAATTAAAAGACAAAAGGAGTGTATAAATAGGGCACTACTTATCAAATGTTATAGATTAAAATTTGCAGGAAATATCACACTAAAACTTTATTAGGTGCTAATTATATTGTATATATTCTTCTAGAAACTTCTTTCCTAAATTTAATAAAGTAAATTTTGATACAGTACTATAATTATATATCTGTTAAGTAGTGTAACTGTACTATGTAGATGTGTGGTGATCTCATTAATAAGGTCATGCAGTTGGTCAACTATGAGGTAAAAAAGAGGTAAGTCTGAGGCATGTTTGTTCAGTGACTATAAATTGGTTAAAGTCTGAAACTTGTCTTGTTAAATGATGCAGTTTATGAAGGTCAAGGCACAGCATTCAATAAATATATCATAAATTATTTCAATGCCTTTAATTTACTTATCTCCAGTTCAACAGACAGAAAGAGTTTACAGCAAATCATTTAACTTCTTGGTTGTGATCTTCCATATGAATAGGACTGTGCACTGATAATTCTATTACTAGCCCAGAATGGCACATCTTCACTGAATGGACCAAGGACTTGGAATGCTGTGTCTATTTGGTTGAGAATATTTTTGTACAAGGAAATCAGTACCTCAGAAGAGTGTGTGATTCTATATTTATATAGAATACTATACATTAGAATATGCTGTTGTATATTATAATATGTACATTCTATTCTGTATATTATAATATGCTTCATAGTATGGAGTTATTTGGGGGCAAACTATGAACCAAGCGTTACAAAATTAAAACAGTGAAGGAATGACTCGGGATTGTAGATGATTTCAATACAGAGAGGAAAGGTGGCATAGTTTGATAATGTGAAATTCAAAGCTGGAAAATTTTAGGGAAGAGAAAAGGAGAACATTTAATTCACCTGTTATAGCAGGTGCTACAGGATAGTTGTGGAAGGAAAACACATACCACTTCAGAGGCTACTGGGGATTTAGTGTCCTTATGAAAGAATTGGTTTTTATTCAGAGTAAGAAGCAGCAATAAGGTTCAGAAGAGAGGTTTAAGACAAAGGGTATTTTGCTGATGATTGATCTTGAATTCCCAGGGGTTCCTTCCTCAAATAAAAATATTTTAAAAAATAATTTCACTGATTAAAAAATTTTCCACTACTTCCAAAAATTTATTTAAGGTAGCTTATAACTACTCATAAAATACAGAAAGATAAAACAAATTAGCAAAATGAAGCAAAAAAAAAACAACAAAGCAAAATGGAAGAGTAGAAACAGGTTTGCAGTCAAAAGCCATATAATCTTGTAAATTTGCTAGAGATCATTCAGAAAGTAGGCTATGACTTTATTCAACAGCAGCATAAAGTAAAATAACAAACAAACAAAAAAACCAGTTAACTTATGATTCACTGTTGATTAGCTGAAATAAAAATAAAGCAGCTTCATGTATATGATGGAACTTTGATTTGCAATTGGATTAATATGTGATTTCACCAACAAAAGTGTTTGATAGTTCACTAAATTTCAAATAGCCCACTGGATATTTGTTTTATTTTTACAATAGCTATGAATATGAAAAACAGTTTCACAATTATTGTTAACCATCATTTTCTCTGCTATTGTTAAGTACTTTGGAGAAATACCTATTACTCTCTGTCAAAATGGGATAAAGAAATAACTACCTTTGCCTTTATATTCTGATCTACATAGTTGCCTGTCAAAATAACTTTCTTTATAATTGTTATAACAACATTTAATTTATAAAACCATGAAATAATTATTAGGCTTGAAATGCATTGTAGGGGTATATACACCACATAGGCAACTCAAGCCCTGCTTTAAAAATGGTTCTCCTTAGTATAGTTCCTACTTCCAGTAAACTTCCAAGCTTTTAAAAGTCCCAATGAATTTCTACAGTCATGTTTTCCAAATTGAAAATATGTGAATCATGACATCGTGTCAGTTTTATTTTTCAGACAATACATTCTTTTTAGAGCTTTCCTAGCTCTATGTTATTAATGTTGGAAGTTAGAAGTCATGACATTTCCTTCTACTGTACAGAAGAGTGACAGCTGAATTATTTCTGCTCCTTAGCTCTCCAAAGCATCATTTTTAGCATTACTTTTGAGATACTCTGTAGTACTGAATTAAGGAATGGTAATTATCAGGGAAAAAAAGTATTGGGCAGATGAAGATCAGCATTTTAAAAAGGATTGTCAAGGCTTTATTTTACTAAGTATATCTTAACCTAAAATTAAATCCAAAGAGTTAGGATACAGGTAGGTATTCTAAGAATTAATTTTAATGTATATGTGTTACTAAAGTTTTTCAGTACACAGTATTATCAAGATAAAAAAGATGGTAGCGTTACTAGTTCAGGGATTCATATGGTATTAACAAGGTAATAGTACTCTCCATCGTTTATAAGATTTGGTGTGTGTTATTACATGCAAAGTCCATGGAAGTCATGTCCATGTCTAGTTATGGTTACAAGAAAAGGAGACTGCTATGGTTTAAATCAGGGGTGTCCAATCTTTTGGCCTCCCTGGGCCACATTGGAAGAATTGACTTGGGCAACACATAAAATACGCTAACTAATATGGTTTGGTTCTGTGTCCTGACACAAATCTTATCTCGAATTGTAATCTTCATGTGTCGAGGGAGGGATCTGGTGGGAGGTGATGGATCACGGGGGGCAGTTTCCTCCATGTTGTTTTCATGATAGTGAGTGAGTTCTTGTGAGATCTGATGGTTTGGCAGTTTCCCCCTTGCTCTCTCTCTCTCCTGCCACCTTCTGAAGAAGGTGCTTGCTTCCCCTTCGCTTTCTGCTGTGATTATAAGTTTCCTGAGGTCTCCCCATCCATACAGAACTGTGAGTCAATTAAACCTCTTTCTTTATAAATTACCCAGTCTCAAGCAGTTCTTTATAGCAGTGTGAAAATGGACTAATACACTAACACAAATGATAGTGGATGAGCTAAAAAAAAATGCCGAAAAACCTCATAATGTTTTAAGAAAGTTCAAGAATTTGTGTTGGGCCACATGTGGCCCATAGGCTGCAGGTTAACAGGCTTGGTTTAAATACTGTACTCCCTCAAAGATTTTTGAAGTGTAATCTCCAGAGCAACAGTATTAAAACGTGAGACCTTTAGGAAATGATTAGGTCATGGATTTATGACTCCATACGAAGTCTTGAGGAACTAGCTAGACCTTTTATTGCCCATCTGTCCTTTCTGCCATGTGAGGACACAGCACTCTTCCCTCCTGGAGCACACAGAGTTCAAGATGCCATCTTGGAAGCAAAGACAGGATCCTTATCAGACATTAAGCCTGCCAATCCCTTGATCTTCAACCTCCTAGCCTCCAGAGTTGTGAGAAATAAATTTTTGTTCTTTATAACTTACCCAATCTCAGGTTTTTGTTATAGCAGCACTAACTGACTAAGAGACTTTCTAGGAAAACTTCTTAAGTAATTGAAACACCCAGAGATTAAATTAAATTACTGCACAATTTTATAGTGTAGAAAATATAAAGAAGGAGATGATTTCTAACATATATTAGTCACCTACTCTGTGTCACACATTGTGGGACCTGTTTTCAAATATATCTCATTTAAGAAAAACAGAAATAGGAGGTCTCAGGAAATATCAATCCATAGGTTTATAGACTAAAAGAAGACAATTTTAACCTTTTAGTAATATAGTTAATATCCAGAAGTGGGTATTACTACATAAATTATAGACATTACTTTAGAGGGAAAATGAATAATTTACTCTATAATATTCTTATAGCACTAATAATAAACATGAAATAGTATCTTTATTAAAACTAAATCCAGGCTCAAGAATGAATCCTGATAAGTTAGACAATAAGTGTTCTAAAATGTAGATAATATTTCCTTAAGAATTGCTTCACCAGCCATAGAGTAAATCAGGACAACTTACTGCCTATGGGAAAACCACCTTCCATGGATATCAGATGCAGCTCTCTCCCTTTCTGTCCCTCTTCTTACCAGTTTTATAAACATCTATTCCATCCTACTATTATCCTTCCTCCTCAATTGCCTCTTACACCGCTAGGGATATACCTATCTACTATAATTCTAATAAAGCATGACTATGTGATGTCTATGAAGTCAGTACAAATCATTAACAAATATATTTTTGAAAAAATAGTTTATCAGTTAAGGCATTAAAAAAATTAAAAATATGGCTCTGAAAATCCTGGTGCGACAGAGGTAAAAACACAAAAAGTGTTCAAGTTTGGGAAAATCAGACTGGGAGAGGAGGGGAGACAGCCTGCCTGGCTGATATGTTTTGGAAGAAGGCAGTGACAACAGGACACTTATTCTTTTCTGTTTTGGCAACTTTCAGGAATAAATTGCTAGAAACTACTCATCAGAACAGCAGGAGCATACCAAGGGGTGAGACACAGGGGCATCCTTTTTCTAAGACGCTGTGTAGTTCTATATGGCTTATATCTCAGCAGGACCAAGAGTCATCAATCCCTTTACTCTTCTTGACAATTTTTCAACCTACTCTAAGACGCGGAAACATCTTTAACAAGAGGCATTTCTACTTACATTGAAACAAAGGTCTTAGAGGTCTCATACCTGGTGGCATGCTATAGTGATTAGAAGCTCATACTCTAAAATCATGCCATCTGTACTTGAACACTACGCTAATAACAAACTGTAACTTCTGGCAAAGTATGTGTATTAGTCCATTTTTTCCACTGCTATAAAGAACTATCTGAGACTGAGTAATTTATAAAGAAAAGAGGTTTAACCCACTCACAGTTCCACGTGATGGGAAGGCCTCAGGATACTTACAATCATGGCAGAAGGCAAAAGGTGGGGCCAGGCAAGTCTTACATGGAGGCAGGAGAAAGAACGAGAGAGAGAGGAAAGTGTCACACTTTTAAGCCATCAGATCTCATGAGAACTCACTATCATGAGAACAGCATGGGGGAAACTGCCCCCATGATCCAATCACCTCCCACCGGGTCCCTCCCTTGATACGTGGGGACTATAATTTCACAAGAGATTTGGGTGAGGATACAGAGCCAAAACATATAAGTTTGTAATTTTTATAAACTTCAATGTTACTATCCATAAAATGGGAGCCATAATAGTAACCAACATAGGTAAGTACATATAGGGTCATTATAACTACAGTATCTATCTCATAGAACTGTCATGAACATAAAGACAGAATACATGCCTGACAAATTTTAAGCAGTTAACAGTGCTAGCAGGATTGTACTTGCTGCTAAAGTACTAATAGAGTTGATAAGTCAGCACAGACTAATGATCAATCTCTAACCTTTACCCAATTTGATAGAACATGGCTGGTTAGAAGATACGAATTAAGGGAAGAGAATTTGGAAAAGACCAGGGGCCCCATTGAGGGAGTATCAAGAGCCAGTGAAGAAAGGCAGAGGACTATTAGGACAAACTATATAATTTTGACTCCAAGTTTTGTTAATCATAGATGGACATTCAAAAAATCTTGATGGTGATGTCTGTACTACGCAAACATGTTCAAGAACAGCTTAAGAGAGGCATTTCTATTTCATTGGAAAACTGGTACTTATTTTAGCATAGTCAACTGTATTATAAGACCCTTGTTCCCAAAAGATTTATTTATCTAGGTGTCACCAGTACAAAAGATTATTAACATCCTACAATTTTCTTTTTACTCTCCTAAATCATCACCTTTGAGCAATTTTGATGCTTATTAACACTGCCACAGCTGGTGTGCAGGAGCAGAGAAAATTGAAACTAAAGCCACTCAATTTGTGGCTTATCATTAGCTTCCTATAAAGATTGGTAGGGAACAAGGTAGACATTATTGATCAATACAGGCTTTATCTGTGTCCCTTATTTTGCTATTTGCATCTTCCAACAGAAAGAAAGTAACCTTATATTTCCCAGTGTTTCTCACGTACATTGTGTCAAAATGCAGGTTTTCAGGCTCATTCTAGACCTACCAAATCTAAATGAGTGGACAGAAAATCTGTATTTTTAACAAGCACACCAGTATAAGACACACTGATTCATCCTAAATAAACTCAAATAAGATTAATTCTGCATATTCAATGAGAATGTTGCTCTGTGACATATGACACAAAGTATTGAAGTAGCTCTTAATCTGGCCAAGGACACATATGTCTTAGTTGCTAAAATGATTGTCTGTATTAGGATAGTGCAGAAAAGAACTAAATATATATTTTTTTAAAAGCACGTGGTAATAGGGTATCAGGTAGCAGCATTCTGTGGATTAAGAGCCAATCATTCCCGAAAACAGCTTTCTCTTTCATATATACTTCAATGCAGAAGGTTGATTTAATGTAAAATCCAAAAAAAGAGTTGTATCATAATAATAAAAATACTACCTGTATATGTTTTAACATATGTAAATAGGTAGACTATATATTCCTCTACTCTTATATTTCTGAAACTAGAGAAGACAGAGTAAAAAAGAAAAACATTACATTTCAAATAATTTAAGATTTGAAAAGAACATTACCTGCATAGAAGACCAGGTTTTACTTTTTACATGGTGTGACCTTATACAAGTAATTTATGCACTTGGAGGTTGTATTCCAATTATAACATGTAATAAGTTCTGACTACTTCCCTGGAATGTAAAAGCATAAATATATGTAAGGTAGTAATATTTAGCAGAGACATGACACTTTGCAAAGGTATAGAGGCCACTACTCTAAATGACATATGTAATTTCTGTAGTTTTCAGGAGATGAGTTTTTCATGTTTGTGATGACTTTTTAGACATTTTACCATGAGGCAGGATGAGGTGGATGCACAATATAATAATGATGATCTTTGCTATTAAGTATTTGAAAGGAATTTGCTTAGTATTCAGAAAAAAAAATCCAGGCTTTTCTTTTCTCAGGTTTCAAGAGAATTGCTTATGTGAAAGATGCTTTGTCAACATGAAGACAGCTAGATTTAAAAGTTGTTACCATTTACTCCCCAGTCTGTAAGATACAGTAAATGCAGAGTTCATATATATATATATATATATATATATATATATATACACACACATATATGTGCATTTGTATATGTATATATATAATATGTATACACACACAGCACATACATTTATGAATTTAATTTCAATAAATTCTAACTTCAGACATTGATTAAAATCCTTGGATAAAAGAGAAACTGGAAAAAAAGGAAGAGAATGTCTAATTTGACTCCACATGGTATAAACAAGTCATAATGAAATTCCCACTGCAAACTCCTTCTCCACGTAAAGCCAGATTTCACCTGATCTTGTGTAAGTTTATTTCTTTAGAAAAATATTATTTAATTTACAAATAATAATTGTACATATTCATGGAGTACATAGTGATGCTTTGAATATAGTGATCAGATCAGGGTAATTTGCATATCCATCATGTCAAACACTTTTCATTTCTTTGTGTTGGGAACATTCAATATCCTCCTTCTAGCTATTTGAAACTACATAATATATTATTTTTATTTATAGTCATCCTACAGTGCTATAGAACATTTGATGCCTTTCTTAATTGAGAGAACATCTTTTCCTTTGAGGATAGTGAAACTTGAAAACAATAATTTGTTCTAACATAAGTGCACAGCATGAAACATTTTAAAACATTTTTTGGTTTATTTTCCTATTTATAACTGATTCTGACAGGAATTGTTAGAGCTCTTAAAATTCATCTTTTAATTGTTTAGTGTTTATTGAATGATCACAAAAAGACTATGCTCTATATTTTGGGCTTTTTAATTATTTCTTGGATATTTCTAACCCAGATGTTCTATAGAATCTAAAATTCAACATCTAGAACTAAGAGGTATCTCTGACCCAGTACCTCATTATCCCCTATCTCAGGTTCAAGTCTGTCACCCAGAAATGCAACTGAAGTAGTGTTGTGTTAATTCTTTATCTATTTTACTTACATACACTCCAGCTACACTGAACCGGTAAACTTTCTAATTTAGTGTCAAGTTCTGGTATGTCTCTGGGATGCTGAGTATACTGTTACCTCTGATTATAATGGCCACCTCACCTGAAACACTAAGATAATTTCTACTGGCTCTTTAGGAAATCTTTCTTCATCCTTCCCAAGGATGCTCCTTAGTATAAGTCAAGGTGCCAATGTGTGTGAGATAGTAAGCCAGCTATATGGATATCTCTGGAATGTGTGGAAATCTAGCATTAATCCTTGGCCAGGGTAAGAACAAAGTCTTCTGAAACCACAATTCCTCCCCCATATGCTGTTGGTTCATAATCTAGAGATGGCTTCTGTGTGACTAACAAAGGACCCTAGAGAGCTGTGCCTTGAAGCATCTCAGATTCCTCATGTTTTTGTGTATTCTTTTGTATACCATAACATTTTCTTTGCCTTTATTAAAGCCTTGCATGAGATCCAAAGGGTCTGTCTGTTCTTTCGACTATCAGCTTTGTGTAATCTCTGTAGTGGGTTTCTTCCATGAGACTGTGGGACACACATTTTCTACACCTGGAGTCTGCACCTAGTATATGCTGAAGAAAAATAGTAAAATATTCATCTCTTTTGCTGATCAGTTATTCTGAGATTGCAAACTTGCCTCTTAGAACTTGTTTAAAAGATTGTTAATTTATACCCTTAAAAAAAGCAAACATACTCACTATAGATAAACACGTCATCTCATTATAAGGTATTTCATGGTGAAACAGACAACAAAGTCATTTTAAGTTATAATAGTCCATTATCTTTATCTAAAAATATTTCCATTTTATATTGGTGGTCATAGAAACACACTGCACCCACTTAGTCAATTAATGTCCTGTTGTTTGGACCATTTACTATAATGTTATGCATGTCTGCATTCTTTGCAATTTTTAGTATGCTGGAAAACATACAGAAGAACATTACTTATGAAATTTACTAAATAAATAACATAATATTCATTTGTTAATTTATTACAAAAGTTCAAGCTAAAGATGTGCAAGTAATGCTGACACAATGCTAGCAGGACTGCATTTTGTATCAGAATTCTGCTATACGTTTTTTCTTCATCTTAATTACTTTTTCAAAAACGGGCAGATAACTCATTGATTACTGTTAGTCTGTTCTCGCACTGCTATAAAGAAATACCTGAGAATGGGTAACTGATAAATAATAGAGGTTTAATTGGCTCACAGTTCTGCAGGCTGTACAGGAAGCATGGCTGGAGAGACCTCAGGAAACTTTCCAATATGGTGAAAGGCGAAAGGGAAGCAGGAACATCTTACATGGCCAGAGCAGGGGGAAGATAAAGGAGTGGGAGGTGCTACACACTTTTAAACAACCAGATCTTGCCATAACTCACTCTCGCCAGGACAACATCAAGGCGGATGGTGTTAAACCATGAGAAACCACCCCCCATGATCTAATAACCTCCCATCAGGCTTCACCTCCAACACTGGGGATTACAATTGGACATGAGATTGGGGTAGGGACACAAATCCAAACCATATCAATTATAATGTCTGTTTTACTCCTTTAACTTGCTATGTCCACACTCACACACAAGCATATAAAACCATCTGTAAAATTCTAAGTTCATTGCTTAAATTTTAAAGGTTTTTTTCTCACTCTACACTCTAAAAATAATTATTTTTATTGACATGTTTCTTCTGGCAACGCTTGAGCATATTTAATCTTGCTCATTTTTTCCCCAGAAGTTTCTGAAGAATATTTTTTAGTTTGAATATCTGCAAATAAAAATAGGTTATTTCCTGGTAAAGCTTGCTGCTTTGTTTTTATTCCATCATCTCCTCGCCAAATGTTTGTGTGAGCAAGCCTAGAGCAATACCATTCTAATGAGCAATAAAAACAGACATGTAACCAAGAAAGTGGTGTGGCATTTCTTGGAAATAAATGCAAACTCTGGGGGAACTAGAAAGCTAGTTTTAATTATTTAGGATTATAGCTAGGGATCAACTAAAAGCTGGTCAAGCCCTTTCATTGCTTACTTTGATGCTCAAGATACTATCGCTTATCTGAACCTGCAGAATCTGGGGTGAGGTGACTCATGCTTCTCTGAATCTAAATCTCCTAGGAAGCAATTAGCCATTGCTGCCATGCTTATCATCATTAGTGGGTAATTCTGTCACAGATAAAATCTGCTTGGGAGACAGGGCAGGAAGAGAGGGGGATTGTGCAAATCTATTCAATTTGGTTCTACAATTTCATAATGTTGAATTTTGAAATGGTCATGTTATTAAAATATGCAAGGAATCAGGGACTAACCTCCTAATAAATGTGCTATATTCTAAAAAATCCCATCTGTAAGATAGTTGTTTGAAATCACGGAAGCTTTTTTTTCCGTGTAATAAAGGTATATCAAATCTTTGTTAAATCTTGGTATACTTGAAAAAGAAAAAAGAGAATAACTAACATTTAATGAGCACCAACCATGTGCTAGGCACTGTACAGATTTTTTTTATTTAATGTCCCAAAAGCTCTATAAAGAAGGTATTATTTGCATTTTAGATGTGTGAAAACTGAGTTAAATACTAGGCTTGCCATTAAGTTGTAGTGTCCACTTTTAATTCATTTCGATGAGGCTCCAAAGTCCATGTTTTTTTGCTTATAGTACACAGCCTTCCCAGTTCTAAACTGTTGGTCCTTTTGCAGTAATAGCATAATACCCCTTAATCACTATTATTTGTTTGGATAAGTGAGTTTGTTGTTATATTTTGAAGAACATGGGACTAATTTTCTATCCACTTCTCCTGGTGGCCTTGACAACGCAGTGGAGGACTTCACTTTCTGGCTTCAAGGCATTACAGGTGTTTGCTAAGACTTAAATTAGAGTGGAACTGGTAAAGTAGGGTGATGGGGTTGGGGCCTGGGAAGGCCCAGAAGAGGGCATATATGTAGGTATAGTCTAGGTATTGGGTATAGAATTGTGTTGCATGAACAGTCTGGTCTGGCTTGAGTTCCCTCTTTACATTTCCTCAGATGGACCCATTAATTGACCAAATCTCCACAGTAACTGGTGAAAGTAAGGTATTAGTCATAGTGTTAGGGGCAGAGATATAATGATGAACAAGATCTGGCCTTACCTCCCAAGATCCTTTGATCTAGTGAAAGCATACATACTGACAACTAAATAAGCAATTTACAAAATAGGATTAGAAGAATTAGGACAGGGTGGTTAAGCACAGGATACCACAAAAACCCTTGAGTCAGTGATTTAGTTGAGAGGACTGTGGTATCAGGTAAGTCTTCCAGGAGGAACAAGCTAAGCAGAGCATTGACATTTAGCAAGGAAGTATAGTGGAGTCTGTGTATGTTCAAGGTAAAGACAGAGCCCCTGAGGAGAGCAAGAGTGGAAAGAGATTGTGAGAAAAAACAAAGGAGCACATAGAAAAAAAAGAACATATAAGAGAGATGAAGCTTGAGAAGACAAACCAAAAGTCACGCTAAGGAGAGAGGAATAGATTATGAGAAAAATGTGATGCTACTTAAAGATATTCAGGTTGGAAGATAAAATGACTAGATTTTCATTTAAAAATGCTCGCTCCTCTTTTGGAGCAGCATCGGAACTGGAAGAAGAGGAGGTCCACCTGATGGGTGGACACTACTGTACGGGTCTGTGTGTGAGACAGATGA
The DNA here is from genome assembly GCF_000001405.40 of Homo sapiens. NCBI lineage: Eukaryota > Metazoa > Chordata > Mammalia > Primates > Hominidae > Homo > Homo sapiens. The sequence goes on along the minus strand of NC_000002.12, from coordinate 188,494,553 downwards.
CGGTGGCCTATAGCAGTTGACACCAAGTGTTGCATGCCAGATAAATATAGACATTGAGAGTCAGCATTTACCAATTGTTATAGCATTTTGACAAAGGAGGCATCCTTTTGAATATATATATTACTATAAGATTTTTGAAAAATATGAGTCTGTGATAGATTAGGGAAAAAATCCGCTGTTTCATCATAGACATTAGGAGAAGCACTGACTGACACCAGGTGGACAGTAGTAGCTATGTGGAGAAATACACATATTCAAGAGGTTTTGAAACAAACAAGAAGTCTGAATGTTTAATGAGATGTAGATGGTAAGGGAGGGGAACACTGGTCACAGCTGATACCTGTGGAAGAGTGTTTTTTTAATGGTATTTGTATCTATAACATCCTTTCTCCTTTCTTCCAGTAACTGGCTTGGCTTTCCTTTAGGGACCTACTCTTTCTCCACAATCAGTCCTTGTTGTCTGGGAATGCATTATGTCACATGGGTTAAGTCAATGAGTTCATCATTCACTGGCTGGCATGAACACATTATCCAGAGACTGGCTAAGAAGGGCACATGATCCATATCAAACCTACAAGGGTCAGCAAGATTCTATTCAGGAAGGTGAGTTTGAGTTATTAGAGAAGTAGATCTGAGAGTTGTCATGTAAATCTGACTCTACCAGGGGCCAGTAGGAAGAGTCTGAGAACTGACGCAACCCAATGAAAACTGAAGGAGAGTTTATCAAATGAGCCCTGAATCAAGTTGGCCTAGAGACAGCCCTCCCTGTGAGGTGTTCTTTTATGTAAACCAATGTATTCCCTTTCTTGCTGAAGCCAGATTGAGTTAGTGTCACCGGAAACCAACAGTTCTTAGTGGTGTTTCTGGCTCAGATAGAGGAGGATAAGGTTATTGAAGACTCTCATAAGCCTGATTGGGGATTTGTCCTTATGTTATATTAAAGTCTTTTAAAAGTTATGTGTCTGCTAGACAAATGTTTGGGTCTGGAGTTTAGGGGTGACATTTAGGCAGGAAAGTCATCAAGAGATGGATGGTGATTTAAGTTGTGGGTGTAAAAGAGACTTCCCAAGGGGAGTAGAAAAAAGAAGAAAATGTTCTAACGATAGAACCCAGAGGAACAATGGAACAGGACAATCAGCATTAAAACATATCAATTATATAACTAAAATGTAAGGATAAAAAATGAAGTCTCAGGCATCGAAGAAAAAGTAAGACCCCTTCAAGGAGGGAAATTGGGATGGATTCAGATTTTTTTCTACAGGAGAATAAAGGAAGACTGTGCAACAATGACTAATGTTCTGAGGCAAAGAAAGATCCAAACATAAAGATGTCCTAGATATTCTCAAGTTTGAAATACCCTACAAAACTTCCAAGTCGTTGGGTCATTTTTAGAAAAACATCTTGAGGAGGAAAACTGAAATTTATAAACATAGGTCTCGTAAATAGAGAAGAAGAAATAGTAAATAAAGTGTTTGGTTATCTGAATGCATTTCAATATGTAATTTAGATTAAACTGCTATGGAAATCATAATTTCAGAACAAAATGTAAACGTTGCAAATCCTGGCAAGTAAGACTAAAATAAGAAACAAAAACTGGGGTGGACTATGCTACCAGGCAGAAATTTAAGTCAGCTATTCACTTCATCATTCATGTATGATATGCATTACTGTCAAAATTTGAAATGTGCTATTAAGGAAAAACACGATGATGCCAAACACTTAATGACTTTCATAATCATCTTCTTGAACCTTAAAACAACCTTTTAGGAACTAATATCGCTTTTGGCAAAGAGATAGATATATAAAAAATTTGGTAACACCTTCAATTCACTTCACTTTTTTTTCTTCTGTTAAAGTTCAACGTTATTTTAAAATAGTATCCATGCTATAATTTCTTTTTTTTTAAAGTTAATTCTTCCTATGAATCTATCCATTCATCCCCAGCATCACTTTCCTTACTTACAGTTTCATGTTATTGTTTAGCTGTTAAATGGGACGTATAAATAGTCCAATCTCACTGGGCTTTTCTAAGGATTAAATGAGATGACAGATGTGAAATGCTTAGAAAATTATTGGTGGAGTCTTGTTTATATGTTAAATGCTATTTTTTTAAATCAGTATTTCCATTCTTGCACTTGTATTTATGCAAAGAAATGCCTGGAATACTGTTAACCAAAAGTCTATACTGGGTTATTTCTGCCTGATAGAGTTTGAGCAATGTGTTTAATTCTGTGCTTAACTGTACTGCTTAAATTTTAATAATTAGCACATATTGTGTTTTCAAAATAAAAGTTATTGTTCTTAAATATATAACACTTTGAAGACCTAATAATGTAAACAGTTGATTTTTCATTGTGTTATCCTGTGTTTTCCATACTTGGAGATACATTTTTCCTCAGATTTTGCTTGTATGAATTACACCATATCCCAGCAACCTCTTTGTACTGCTTTGCGATCACATCTGTGCAAGATATTGAAAGAGGAGGTGTTTTAATACTATCTGATATACTATCTGGAGTCTATGTTTACGTTTATGAAAATGATTTAAAGGTTTAGAAAAATAAACCACTTAGTTCTAGCAAAAAGGAAAAAAAATAGATGATACACACTTTTCTGGAAACTGAAGAAATAAGTGCACAACAGGAGACTATTCTTAAATGTAAAAATATGCATAACAGCTCTGGAAATGAAGTTTCCTGTAGTTCAAAATACTACAAGAAAGACAAACATGACTTTATTTTGATGTAAAATATGTGAATTTATGTATATGTTGCCTAAGGGCTGAGACATTATTTCCTTTAAAATGTCTCTTAAAATGAAAGAATGTCATGAATAGAAATCTTAGTTTGTCTTCTGAAGAGATTTAGTGTCTCTAGAGTGTGCTGGCCACCTGCCTCATCTTAGACCTTTTGAATGAAATGACAAAGAGTGAATCTGGAGGCAAATTGCTTTCACCTACCATTTTCCTAATCAATATTTGAAAAGCAACCACATAATCCATTGATAACATCAATTTCTGTGTTCACATCTAAATTATTTCCAAAATCTTGGTGTTTTCTGCCACATTTTACTTCTCTTAACAATCCTTTCCTCTTCATTCTCATTTCTCCTACGTTCTCTGTTAAGAAAACAAAAACAAAACAAAAAAAACATGCTCACCTGTTTGCTAATTTTCTTTTATGCTGATTTTAGTCACTTATATGCTGATTTTAGTGGCTCATCAAAACACCATTACTGAAATGGTATTGATAAAAACATTAAATGTTTTTTACTTTTTGGAAACATGTTTTTTTTTCCTCCAAAACTGTAATCTCTACTTTTCCTTTCTGCTCAGATCCTTAAGTCTCACAGTCCAGTCTTCAGAATGCTATTGCTTGACCCTTTTGAGACCAAATCAGTCCTTTCTTTTCTTTCTTTACATTCTCTAGCTATGAACAAGCTTTTTAAAATTATTTCGGCTAGGCATGGTGGCTCATCCCTGTAATCCCAGCACTTTGGGAGGTCAAGTTGGGTGGATCGCTTGAGCTCAGGAGTTCAAGACCAGCAATAAGCAACGTGGCGAAACCCCATCTCTACAAACAAATTAGCCAGGCATGGTGGTGCAGGCCTGTAGTCCCAGCTACTCAGGAGGCTGAAGTATGAGGATCACCTGAGCCCAGGAGGCAGAGGTTGCAGTGAACTAAAATTGTGCCACTGCATTTCAGCCTGGGTGACACAGTAAGACCCTCTCTGAAAAATAAAATAAAAATTATTTCATCTAGGGCCAAACACATCGATGCAGAAATATGAAATAAATGATAAATATGTTCAACTTTCAGAAAATGTCCTATGTATCACTAGATGCTCTGAAGGTGAAGAAGCATTTAAGGACATAGATAACACCAAAGCATTTTTATCCAGGAATTATGTTAATAAAAATATCATTAAGCAAAGCAGAAGAAAGAAAGATGCAATACTTCATGGAAGCTTAGACATGTGGCCCCTGTGTTAGGGAGGCTAATACATAGACTTTACTTAGTCTACTTAGCTCACTCACATCTCTGCCAAACCCCTGCCTACTTTAAAATGATGTCCAGAGAATCATTTAACAGACAGGGGCAGGGTTCCACAGATGAAGCAATTTCACATACAACATATACAAGTGGCAGACACATATACATATTTTACTTGTCTTTAGGTCTTTCATCTGCTGGTTAAGTACTCTCCAAAATTAGGAACAGTATATCGCAATAAATAGACAAACGGATGTTGAACAGGATCGGATACTTCATTCAACACCTAATTTTGCTACTATCTTCCTGTGTAAGCTTAAACAAATCACAACTTCTCTGGGTCTTGAATGACCTTATCAAGAAAATAACCGAGTTTGAATAATGAATACTAAAGTCCTTTTCAAAACTGTCTTTGAATCCATAACACATATACTGCCTTTTTTAAAAAAATAAAATGATACTATAGTAAATACTGAAATGTAATGAGTACTAATAAAAGTTTTTAGTTCCTATTCAATAATTTCTAGCAGCTATATAACACTTGTTAGAGTACTCTCAGATGTAGAATTATAGTTTGTAATGATGACAACCTTCAGAATTAACTGAAAGTTTATCTCAAGAATCCAGAAGCCATGCAATGTTAGGTATTTATTGCCATTTCCTTTTCTCCATTTGTTCTTGTATTTTGTAAGCACATACTAGCTATTAATACAAATCACAATTGAATAAAATTCCAGTTATTACTACACTTTTATTTGCTTTCATATTTTTTGGCATAAAAAACACCATATAGTTTCCCACTGTAGAGAGGACAAGGGAAAGGTAACATTTTACAGATTTCTAATTTCCTTTTAAACACGTGTCAGTATTACTTTGGCACATAAAGCAAAAATTCCAAGTGATAACAGATCCCAAATTATCAATACATATTATAGTATATATTATTTGTTTAATTAGAAAAATGATGGTTAAGCTTCAATTTATATGCTCATTCTTTAATTTTAAAATGTTTGGAATGAATATAAATGATATATATTAGCATTATTAAAGACCAGTTCTAAAATCTAATAAAATGTTTTTTAAAGGTCATGTAACACCAAATTTTAAAGTGGTTCCTATGCTTTGAAATTAAAGACTCATTTTCGGATAAATGATATGGATTATCTGGAAATGCAATTGAGCTCTTTACGTTTCTTATATTTCCCCTGGTTTCTACAACCAGCAAAACTGGCAAGTGCTTATGTTTGCTGCTTGTATAAAACTGCTCTAAAGAATCTCATGAAATTGCAATTCAAAACCATTTGGGATGTTTCAACAAGGCATCTCATCGATTACAGAGGTGTACCTTTTGCCCAACTTTCAACGATTCCAAAGAGTTGAATCTGAAGATTTTTCTTTCATTTCCTTTTTTTGACACACTAATAGATGTCATTTATTTCTAAAACCTGAATTTTTTTCAATTAGGTCATATACCAATCTTAATATTTCATTGAAGGGTAATTTATCATATGTTCTCAAAAAACAATTTAAAGAGCATTAGTAAAATTATTTTTTTTTATATTAAGACCCGTCTTTACTATGACTCATTAAGCCAAATAATGTTGTAACTTTCTCTCTTCATTAACTGATTACTTGTAAAACTCCCTAATGGTTTCAAAAGGTTTACAAGGACTACCTTATCTTTCTATATTTGATTTTAAGACCAGGACAATCTTTGCATTAATATTTTGTTCCAGAATGCTGTTACCTCAAAGTATCTCCTATTACTTCAAGGTAATAGGAAAGTATAATCACAACAGTATTATTCTTTAATGATCAAAGCATTCTCTTGCATATAATTCCACCAAGGTGGCCGTATTGAGTCTCCTGTTGTGCTTCAGGAAAAAGCATTCCTTCCCCATAGAACCTTTCAGAGTGGTCACTGCAAGTACTTCAGTTGATGCAAACAGAAAAAATAAAATACCTGATACACATTCTAAGTAGTTCATTCTCTGTTTTTCAATGCTACATTATTCTCAAGAGATAGTAATGACTAGTGTCAACTCCAGAGTTGACAGAACACTTTCTATAACAACTATATTAATAACAATAAACTTTTGTCATACCAAACACTGATCTAAGTTTTAAAAAAATATATTAACTCACTTAAATCTCCTAACAAACCAGTTTGATATTTGTAGTTATTAATCTCATTTACAAGTAAAAAAACTCAAGGACAGAAAAGTTACATAATTCTGATAACAGTTGAGAGAGGAGAAGTTTGAACCCAAATAGTTTGACCCAGAAATGGCTGCTCTAATTACTGTAATAGGATGCAGCAACTATATGGCTATAAAATTCTGGTAGAATCAGTGGAGTTGTTGGTATAGAGCTTACTCTTGAGGGGTGCATCTGAGCATGTCAGATACGTAGGTTCTGATTTTTCTAGGATTACTATTGGGCAGGTTTAGTTAAAAGTTTGAAACATAAGTGTCCAACGTGGTTTTCAACCAACTAAGGGTTAGAATCCTCAAGTTCTAATATCTTACTGTCACATCTGATATTACATATTTTGTGTGTGGAGGGGATGAAGGCAGTGTTTTTGTTCTTTGTCATTTTGTTTGTATTTTGAACCCAAATAAAGGCTCATAGGTAATTTTTTTGTTGGCAAATTTAGGTTGTAAAGATGAGAAAGCCACACTAGAAACCACACAACTCACTGGGCCAGCAAGCCTTCTCTCTGATTAAACAAACGAAGTGGCAAACAGTGCACGTGTCATATGTAAAACTCTGACACCTCTAGAAAACTTTGAAATGTAAGGTAATCTTTCTTTGTAAACCTCTCCTTGACATTTGTATTTTATTTTGTTGTTGATTAGCTATGTAGTTTTCTCACTTGTAAAACTCCCTGACATGGTTTTGAAAGGGTTTGCAAGGAATGCGTTATATTTCTATATTTGATTTTAAGATGTTCCATAGTTTAGAAGATAACGACATGATGTTGGTTATCATTATGTACTTTTCTTCCAAAATTCTTTCTATGTTTCATATGACTGTTTCCTCTCCACAGGGACGTCATAAGTTTTTAAGGTGAAGGTCCGTGTTACTATTTGTTTTACATTTGCTCACTTTTAGAGCTTGGAACACAGTAGACAGATAATCAAGGAATACTCACTCTCTTTACTGCTGCCTCATGCAAAGTAAGGTAGTAATCTCTTTATAACTTCATTCTTAAACATCCTTGCATTTTTGTATATCTTAAAGATAGATTTTTCATAAAAGGATAAATACATTAAACTTTTTGGGGGATAATTATACATTTTAGAATAAAACATTCAATAAAAAAAGTTTCAATGAAACATTTGTCACAATTCTTCATCTAGGAAATGACTGTCTCACTCTAACAGAAAAATAAATTGATTAAAATACAAGTCTGCCAGCATTTTATCTTTATAGAAAAGAGAGTTTAGCATTCTCATAAAAAATTGAAGGGAACAGAATTTTTTAAATTTCTGCATTAACATTCTAATTATAGTAGCAATAGAATCTAATACCTAATCTATTGATTCTGTCAACTTTACTTTCAAAATACATCCAAATTCTCAGTACTCTTCTCCTCTAGCTCCTACTCAGCTTGAACTGCAATCACCTTTTTTGCCCTTGCTACCCATCTCTAAATATATGTCCCTATGACCTACTACCTGATTTCATGACCACATTTTTTCATAGGTAATAACCTTTAGCTTGGAAACATCACTACAGAGTACACAGGATAATATAAAAGATTCCCAATGAACTAATATTAATGCTGTCACTGCACATTAAAGAAAACTCCAAAACTAATGAACCCTACATAGAACAATGCTTATTTTAAACCATTTATTATTTTATATCGACAAATGATCTCAAATCATTACACTATGAATATTAAATGTGAATTTTTGAAATCAATGTTCCATAAATTGAAAGAATGTAGAAATAAAATGTGTTCTAAAAAAGAATTATAAAATAAAACAGAACACTAATGCTTTAAAACTGAAGACATTTAAACATAAATGTTATTACATATTTCTCCAGGGAGAATAATAATTCTTAAGTAGTTCTGTTAAATTTATCAGATTAATTTGTAACCAGTGGATGCCAAAAGTGAGTGAAGTAGTAGGAATCTTTTAATGGTATGATGAGTCTCTCTTTTAGCCAGGATGAAAATAGATATTTTTTCTTATTCTCTACTTATATACCATTCCTATTTTATATCAATTCTTCCTCTGGAATATTAAGCACATCTTTATTTTCCACTGCAAATTTATCTACTACCCTATGGTAAACTTATTACCACATACTTGGACCATTAAAATAACTTCCTAAGAGGTTTAATGTCATTCTAACACTCTTGATTCAAACTGACTTTTTTATCACTACCGATTTATCTTCCTAAAATCCTGTTGGATTCATTTACAATCCAAACTGTTGCTTTTGCCATTCAAAGCCTTCCCAATTTGCCTTTTTAACCTTGTCCATCATTAATACTTGTATGAGATCAGTTTTATGTGTCAACTTGGCTAAGTTATAGTGCCCAGTTATTCAATCAAATTCTAATCTAGGTGTTGCTGTAAAGTTATTTCATAGATACGATTAACATCTCTAATCAGTTCACTTTATGTAAAGATTATCCTGGATAATCTGGATGAGCCAGATCCAGTGAATTGAATGGCTCTAAGAACAGAACTGAGGGACAGAACTGATGGTTGCCTGAGAAAAAAATTCCACTCTTTCAGACACTGTTGTAGCACTAACTTCCTTATGTCTATAACAACTCAAGTGAGAAATTACTATTGTTACTATCCCTATTTACTGATGAGTAATCACAGACATAGAAAGGTTAAGCAATTTTCCCAAAGGCATACAGTAAATAAGTGTTGGAGTCATGATATAAACCAAGGAATCTAGCTCTAGAGTCTGTATTTTTTTTTCTATTGTGCCAAGCTACTTTCTGTGGTCAAGGATTTGGTTTTCAAGTGGCATATTCTATAACAAGAGATACAGGATATCTTAAAAAGTAACTCTACTATGAGGTCATCCTAATAAGTGCCACAAACAAAGGACTTCAGAAAAAAACTAACATTCTTCAAATGAATTTAATGCTACTTGGTACACATACAATATATATTATCACTCATGAGGCCATATTATAGTAGACAAAATCATCCTGCCCTTCCATATTTTACTGTTCCCAGTCTGGGAAGATGTTTTTGCACCCTCTACTTCCTGTAGAATGTCTTAAAATTGTTATGCACCTGTGAATTGGCACTGGCAACTTTTCCATGTAGACAAGCAGAATGATTGGCGGAGTTAAAGGTAGATCTAATTATAATATAACCTTTTAATCTTTTATAAAGCTGTTTTTCAAAATGAGGCATATCAGTCACATAAAAATATTAATGGTTTCAACTGGAGCATATAATTCCACTATGATTGATAATATAAAAAATTGAGCATGCATTTTAAAATCATAGCAGCTTTCCAGATTAAAATTTTTTCAGTATAGATTTCATATAGTATACCAATAGCTAATACAAACAATATCTGTGGAAATGATGGATAACATAAACAATTTTTCTCATTCAGTTAACTAAACTTTTCATGCTAAATTAGGGCAATCAGCCTTTATGTTAAGTTTATAGAAAAATTCATAAGCACTGCAGTGATTTCAAGTATAATATGTTTACACAGAAAATATTTCAGATTTCTTTGCTGGTAAGTCAGCAAGAAAAAAATAAGAGATGGTGCACTCTCCAAATTTCGCTGCTGAACAACAGCTCTGGAAGAACTTCTTCTACATAGGCTTTTAAATGTTTCTTCCTTCTGATTCAGACTTAGGTAAGAACTCTAGATGTTTCCTACCAAACACCGTTAATTTTCTCCTCAATAAACATTCTTTAATTTTTCCTGAAATAATTGCTATGCCTAATCTCACTGTATCCCAGTGTATACTTCACTAATCCATAAACGTTTAAGTTCTCTTATAAAGATATTATAGTTTTGTTTTCCCCTATTCTGTCTCCAAAGTTCAGTTGCTTTTAAATTTGACGCTAATATTTCCAATCCCCTCTTTAACTCATTTCTGACTCTTCGAAATTTTGACTCAGATCTCTCTGAAAACTATTACAAGTTTGGTGATAATTAACTACAAAATAGCACCTTTCTTTAAAGTCTCTGTTTTAAACTGAATTCACTCATTTTTTTCAACAACAAATGAAATCTTTAAAGACACAGAGCGTAGATTAATGTTTCCATTTCTCTATTAAAATGCAGCAACTTGAACAAAAGAATTTTTAAAAGGCACCTTTTTGTGTGCTTTTTAAAAATAATTTAGGCTGGGCAGAGTGGCTTCTACCTGTAATCCCAGCACTTTGGGGGGCTGAGGCAGGTGGACCACTTGAGGTCAGGAGTTCGAGACCAGCATGGGCAACACGGTGAAACCCCGTCTCTTCTAAAAAGCATGGTGGCACATGCCTGTAATTCCAGCTACTCCAGAGGCTGAAGTGGGAGAATCACTTGAACCCAGGAGATGGAGGTTGCAGAGAGCCAAGATCTCCCCAGTGCACTCCAGCCTGGCCTACAGAGCACATCTTCATCTCAATAAAATAAAATAAAATAAAAATTTAAACTTTGTTCCTTTTTTCTTGAATGATAATTACATTTATGAAAATTGCAGCTCATTTCTCTCATTTGCAGGTTTTTATATTTAGGTTGTATAATGTAACATTAATGTTTTTAAAGAAAGCTAATTTGTTAGTGGTTTGAGTTTCTACAAGCCATGATATTGCAAATGTTTTTAACAATAACAAAAATCACTTGAAGAAAACACGTTTGACTAAAACAGTAATTTTAAATAATACACTTTTAAAAAGAGAAACTATTCTACAGAGAAAAATAACTTCCCATGCCACAATTATTTTATTTATGTAAACTTTTTTCAGGAATCAATAACCAGGAAATGTCAATACATAAGCAATCTGAGATTAGCCATGAATTAGTAATGATACTATAACAAAATAAAATTAAATAATAAATGAACTATTTTTACCTTTGCATTATAGGGAATGAAATGTTTTGATAAAGCTTCAGGTGTATGCATCCATGTTTTGTCTGCAATAAAAAATACACAGAGTTAAATTTTAGGTTTCCATGGTGTCATATTCACGCATTACCATTTGTATGGTAATTTAGGACACAGAGTATTTCTAATTCTGAGATTCTTTGCCAAAATGACAAAGAATAACCACTCAGATAGAAGAACAATTTAGTTGGGGCGTGATTATAGGATTCTTTCTTTGGTATAAAAATCCCTAGCTTTTCTTTTTAAAGTTTTCAAATAATAAAAATGATACCAAATTTTAAAAGAACATATAAAAACCACATCAGTGGGCTATGAGTAATTGCATTCATTTGTGATTTAAAACAAGTATCTTTCTTCTTTCACTTTATGCTCTCATGAATTATAGGTTATTTTTCTTAATTCCTAGAACAATAAAATATAATCTGCTCTTTAACTCTTTGCAAATATTATATTGTAGCATCAAGATTTAGTTATTCTAAAGGGAAATTATCATATTATACTAACAACTGCATTTGTATGAAGCTGAAATTAACCAACTTACTGTGTTCATTTGGAAATCAATATAATATTATGATAAATCTTTATTCTAAATTTGAGGAAACACTGATTGAAGGTCTTCTCTCAGGAGTTTTGGATATAAATAGTCTCAAATGCAGTAAATCAAAATGTTTCTTAGATAAGTGTTAAAAATATTAGAAATAAAAGGATAGAATATATTAAAAGTAATTGTATTATATATTATTTATATCTTGTTATTTATATTTGTATTACTAATATTTTCAATTTAATTTTTGAACTTTATTAATATAGCCCACATATTTTCCCCAATATTTTGAGGAATGCATAATGGGGAGAAAAAAATGTTAACATTTACATGAAACAGATTGGCTTTTTTTGAATCTGCACTTATGTGGAGTAAGACTTCTCAATCTTCAATGATATTTTGCCTCCATTAGTGTAGTTTTGTACGTATCTTATTTTTCACGGGAGTTTAAAATTTGGAATCAGTATTATAAATAGAACAAAATCAAAGATTTATTTTACCATGAAACATACAAATACAAACTGGAAGGAAATATTGTATTACTAACAAAGTAGTTTCAACATTAAATTTGGATTTTTTTAAATGCTGTTAACAGAAACTAATTTGATACCCTTAATATGTTCTTCTTAAACTGGGTTAATGTGAAGACATAGAGAAAATGACACATATTTTTGGAATGTAAATTATTTTATACTATTTGAATAATAATGCACTGTATTCATATTAAATTTGTTTATGGGGTACAATGCAATATTCTCAAGTATTTCCAATACAAAAGATGAAGGGCCAAGAGAATTGGGTCTATTTCTGACTACTAGAGTGAATATATGATAGCCATACTTGGGTGAAATATTTTGAACAGCAATACATTCTAAGCTTCAAAAAATATTGACGTTGACATTTAATGTGTGAAATTTGTATTTTCTATAAGGATTGTCATCTTAGCTATACTTTTTGTGATTGCTAATGGATAGTAATATGATTAATTCAAGAATAATTTGCACTTAGATTTGGAATATAGTCTTGCTTTTATACATTAAAAGAAGTAAATCACAATACTTCTTCCAAGGCAATAAAACACAAAACAAGAAAAACACCTTTAGGAAAACTAAGATGTCCAATTTCTCCTTTTAACTCCTTCACTTAATTCTTTTCATGTCTCCTTTCCAAAACATACAACACATCTCAGGAGTATGTAAACGCTGACTAAACTCTCACTATGATGGGTCACACCAATCCTGAGGCAGAGAGGTATTAATAATTTCTTTCTCCTATAAACCACTATTACTTGAAAACTGATGAAAATGCCTCTGTTACAGACTCATATTGCAGCGACCTAAAAAGAGTATACCAAGCTGCTTCTGCTGACAGACTAAAATAATCACAATATTAAATTCCAGTGGATAAGCTGTAGCTCCTACAATGACAAAAATCTGCATCCATATTATCAAGCACTGATAATTTAGTGTTTGTTTATTACATATCCTCAGGTATGAGCAGTACATTTATAAAACCTGAAGGATTTCCAAAATGAGTTCTTACTGTCATCCTAATTTATACTTTGGCAAAAAAATGACAAAATAAAACTTTTTATATTAACTTATAGATAGGACTAAATCTTGAGTAGGAAATACACATGCTGGTCCTTGGTCACTATATGTGTTCATAGAAGGTATTAGATATATGAAAATGTGCAGAAATGGGAATATAGACATTCTAGAAAGAGTTCCTCTTCCTTGAATTAAAGTAAAATCACTAACTCAAAATTGAAGACTTACATGAAGGAAAATGCCAACATTTCAACATATTTGACAAATATCAATGTACTCTGATTGCTGGGTCAATAAATTTAGGTTTTCAAAATGCATCTAGATTAAGAACTCATCAGGAAATATAGAGTAAATTCATTATTTTTGTATCATCAGAGCTTACAATGGTGAAACACCTACTTTTGAGTACATTAAATTTAAAACTAAATGCTGGTTAATGAATAGATACATTTGAATAAAATGTTTGTTAAAAAAGAAAGTAACATTTAAATATTAAATTTTAAGTGCTGTGCATTTGATATCTACTCAATAGTATGTCAACTAAGTTTAAAAAAATGTAACTAGTTGAATTACTTAATCATTTATTCACATGTTATTTTTATACTTTTTTACTTAATGATTTATATTTGATGTAATAAATAGAATATAAAATTTTTTTAATTAAAAGAAAATTAACATTGGGAAAAAATCTAAAACAAAGACAATCACTAAAATTTCGTCTATGATTATATTAGACTAATTTTTAAAGATCTTTTCAAAAGAGCTCAAAATGATATGACTGTAATATATTCAGCACTCTTCAGAATCTCTGAGTAACTCTAACACCATTAGAGCATCTGCAAAGAAAATCAGTGAATTCAATCAAGAAATACAAACTTACTAATTTGGAGATTTAATTTAAAAAAAAAACACAATTATGTTTAGGTTTAAGATGGTCTTTTTTCCTTAGGCTTCTGAGGTCCTGGATCATTTAGTAAGATTACATGTGATGGCCAAGTATATTGGGTATCTATGAAATAAAGAGATAAGCTTTTACTGATAGAAGACCACCTTGCTTTGTTTAGGATACTGTACACAGGGTATGTTGATGGTAGTTTTGGAAACGTGACTTAAATAAAATATTCTCTAGTGATATAATTATAGCTTATGGCTCCAGCTTATCCAGATATACAAATTCTCTCAAACAATTTAAGTTTTTCATCTGAAATTAAAATTTAATGAAATAATGTTATTGATTGAAACCAGGAGCGGGGGCTCTTAAAATTTTTTCTTTAACAACTTCACCAAATGATAGAGTCAGGATTGACTGGTGAACTTAAGGGAAAATTTTCAGTTCAAGTTTTAACTTCAGGTTGGAGTAAAATATTAGTGAATAATTTCATGATACTAAATCATTAGACCTGAAAAATAAGAGAAGTCAAAAGAAATTCAAAGAGAATGAAGCAAATCAGGAAATAACAAGTGCTTCTGCTTCTTGATTCTCCAAATCACTCCACTATTCCTATGGTTGTACTCCCACTGTGTTCAAATAAGACAAATATACAATTACTGGTTACTCACATTACTATCCAACTCTTGGGATTTCTCAATGAAAAACCATTCTAAACCCCCTTCAAATAAACAGTAAATTACAGATGTGGAGTTTCAACTTTAAAGTGATAGGAAAGGAGGATTATAAGCATATATATATAAAAAGAAGGTCTAGAAGTATTTATTAAAAATAAGTTAGAGTGATTAAAGTGTTAAGTTGTGATGTAAGATTTCTATTACTTTATTAAACATACTTCAGATTGAGCACAGTGGCTCCCGCCTATAATCCCAACACTTTGGGAGGCCAAGGCAGGAGGATCACTTGATGCTTGGAGTTTGAGACCAGCCCTGGCAACGTAGCAAGATCCTATCTCTATATAAAACAAAACAAAAACTTCAATATATCATGTAATTATTTATAGATTTTGTTACTAGTAAAAATGAAAGAAACACTATTTTACTTTTGGTACCTGTTGTAAATCAGAAGCAGCTACAGACTATAATCAATGTCATTTTGCTTTCCCCTTATTCAGGAAAATTAAGTAAAATAATAAATTTCTAGCTTCCCAGAGTTGAAGAGTGCCTTAAAGGTCACATTATCTAAATTCTCACTGAATACATTAATCTTCTCTGCCACATCCAAATGTTTGAACACCTCTCACTTCAGAGACCAAAAAAAGCTAGTAATTTGAGTAATTTAATTAAACATTTACCTGACTTTCTTGGAATTCATTTTCCCTATATTAAATCAGTGACATTATCATTTACACCTATTTGTCCTTTACTAAACTCAACCCCATGGCTAAATGGCAGTCCTTCAAATATTGAAAGACAGCTCTCATTAACACATGAATGGTTCTCAGTCATGCTTCCTGTTACATGGCTGAAAGTCCTGAAGTCATCTCAGTCTTTCTCATCTGGGCACGTTACTATGTGTCAGTTAACACTGTAACCTTTTAAAGGGAGAACACCCAGTGCCCAACTGCCTGATACTGAACAGAACACTAGTCATAGTTCTGGACTATTCATTATCCATCCATACATTAGAAAATGACACAGAGCCTTTGATACTCACACTGTTGACTTTATTCTTCAGCCATTTTTACTCTGACAGCATTCAAGATGCATCTTCCAAATAACAGCAATATTTGAATCATGATAAAAGTATTAGATTTTCTGGGCCCTTGTTTGACAATTTGCAGTATCTTAGTAAGTTTATAGTGTGGAATAAGGCCTAACTTGTCATTTTTTCCTCACACATCTGTAATCCTACTACAGCATTCATGTATCATCACCTTCTTGCTTTCAATCACCTATGAATTTGATTATCATTATTTAAGCATTCTTCCCCAATTCATCAATAATGTAAAACAGGAGAGAGCCCCATGCTCTCCACTAGAGAACTCCTTTGAGAATGGAAAGGATACATTATTTAAACTTCACTGACCTACGCAAAGTTATATTTATTTTTCTATCTTTCTTTATAAGTGCATCATAAAATAGTTTGTCAAATGCCATGTTTTTCTGCCCATTAAAAAACAACATCTAACTAGCTGTTTCTTTCAGTCCTATAGTGATCACTATAATATACTACATTCGTAGTTATTTAAATTCCTACCTAAAAATTAATAACAAACTTATTGTGGCCTCATTGCTTTCAATCTATCTACTACCAATCCTCACATATTGTTCAATGATACATGAAGCCTGTGCACACACACACACACAATTATGAATGAATTTATGTTACCATAATCTTATGTAAGCCCAGGGAATTTAGTATTATATGGCTACATAAGCTAAAGTTAGGACAAAGTTTCAGATCATTTTATTCTTTGCAATTTCACAACAAGCTTCAAGTTGCCAGGCGACATATTATCACATATGTATTGTGAACTCAGTGTAATAAACAACTTTGATCTTTCACTAGGGTGATAACTAAGGAAAGCTAATTAGCAACGTTTGCAGATTTGTGTTGCTCTAATCTAACTTCATTTCTGGGCCAGGTGGTTTGACAACAAGAAAAACTGATTTCTTAACATCGCTGCTTATGTTCATAGCAACATTGGCTTGACTCCCAAGTTTTAAAAAATGACCACACTTACCTTTCTTCCTGCTAAAAGCACGGTTCATGATGAGGATCAGCCAAATAAATGTTCAGTTCCACGACTTAAATCCTGTAAAAGTGACAAAATATTAAAACATAAACAAAGGACTGTTGACTGACCTCTCTTTTGCTAATGTGGTTTTAATTATAAAGGCTTTTTAAATTTTTAAAAATATTTACAAACAATATTCTAAAATGCCTCAAAGGACATTGGGTAAGAAAAAACACAAGTACTTAATAACGTGAGTGGCACAAGCAGATAGGAATGTCTCACAGAAATTCCTCCCAAGTTCTTCAATTTTGTCTTTTTTCTATTATATATCCATCATTAACTATATTTATTTGCAAACTTAAGGAGAAGAAAGATCAATACTTTTTCCTCAGCTTGTTGACAAGAGGTGTGTATATAAACACTTTACTTTTTATTTACCTGAGGCCCAGAAGAGTTTCGTGTTTATTACAAAGTCACAAAGACAGGTGATATACTAGGAGCAGTGGTTAAAACATAGGATAAAATTACCTACCACTTAAGATTGTTTTACACATTAGGAAAGGTATGAAAGTACTTGGCACAGTATTTGGTACATATTGAGCTCAGAAGATATTAGCTACAATCTTTGTCTTAGATATAGCATGGGATCTAAATTTAGTGCTCTTTTTATATGCATTATTTATCCATCCAAGAGGTCCTCTTAATACCTGTTCTGTAGTGTATTCACTATGAGGGTTACACATCAAATTCAGCAGCTTAGGTAAAGGACTTTATGTACTGTTGTCCAATTGAGATATTTCCATTTTATATATTTAATGACTTCGTGTAAAAAACAACAACAACAAAAAGATTTCTGGAGTAATTCCCTCAGAGACTCAGAGACAATTCACATTAAGGTCTAAGAAGAAAGTTATGATTAAATATTTATTGGTACTGCATTGTAATCTATATTTGGGGTCCACAAAATAGTTAATCTTACTGATACAACACTCAGAAATAACTTTGCTGCTCTAGCAACAGAATATTCATGAATTGACATTAAGATAGCCTTTCACTTCTACTTTATCTTCTGTGAGGACTAGTGTTACAGGTATATTACAGGGTAACACAAATACTTTTTAGAATTAAAATATTTTGCTATTTTTTAAAAATTTGCATTTTTTTCATTTTTAGAATTCAACCACATTAAATAAAACTGTTTAATAATGTTCTTCCTTGATAACCTAGAGACCTGCTTCAACAGAAATCAAAGGAAACTCATGTGCTTGGTGTAAGAGCCCAGTTTGGTGTGTTCCATCTTCAGATGACAAGACAGTAACTGAATTCTGGGTAAAACTTTCCCCACTCTCTGCCCACTATTGCCTAGAGGTCTCAGCTGTTAGAGATAAATTCACGAGAGACCAAAAGCTCTGCATGATTCTGGAAATAGCTTCCCCCATTCCACTCTAAGTCTCAAAGTCTCACCACCACTTCCTGCTAGGAGACCTTCATAATTTTATCACATTCTTTATTCCGAAGTATGTGAGTCAACATAAGCAGCTCAGGTTACTCTCATCACTCAGAGAATCTAATTCTAATGCATTACATTCTGTAACCACATCTTTCACTTCTCCCATCATCTGGAAACATTTCACTGTGTCATCTGGCATTCACAGTAAATCATTATCAAAATGCACTCGCATTTTTTCTAAAGATTTTATCCACTCTGCCGCTCTTCTTGAAACCTAGTTGTTGCCTGAGCAAACTAGTTCTACTGCAGTCCTTTCAAGAGGCTGGCTGTTTATCTCCCACACATATTATACCAATAGACCAAGAAATTATGCATTTTCAATTACTGTACTTCTCTTTTTTTTCAAAACCCTTAATTTCTTTTGAGGATTTTGCCATCAGACTGTATATACATAATGGAATACAACACAACAGAGAATATAATATATTTGGTATCATTTCAAAAGTCACTTTTCACCTATATCTTAACAGACCTGGTTATTTATTGAGCATATCCTGAAGAAATAAGGAAAAAATAAAAATAAACTAGTAGAAAAAGAACGTAATATATGCAAATGTAAAATCTGTCTTCTCTGGAAAAATAAAGTAACAAAATACTATGAAGTTTATTAATCAGCAGACAAAATTTAATATACCTGTCCACTACTCAAATTTCATCACTATGAGGTGGACATTTTCAACAAAAGAAGATTGTGAAATATAAAAAAAGGAGTTTAATACTATATGATTTAAAAATTCTTAAAATTAAACAATAGCGTGGCTTTTAAATTAAAAAAATAAAATATAAACAACTTGGGGGCATATAAATGGAACAAGAATAACAACAAAAAAAAACTCTTCACATAATTATATAAAGTTCATTGGAGCAAACATGGAGGATATATAATGACATGATAATACAATGACTCTAAAACACCAGAAGCACTTTTGCTTGCTCACAAAATGCATAGATATAAATGTCGATATATATCAGATAAGTCATTCTTTTGAAATAAACTATAATTTAACTATCCAAACCCCACTTCTTAGCATTTTATTTGATGCAATGTGCACTCTACACTTTTTTTGTAAAACACGTCTTACAACTCCACCAGAAAGTATGTAGATACTAGCTACTTTGTTCAGTACCCCAACGTGTATAATACAATACGTGACACTAGGTTGGCATTCAATGTACTATTTATTTTATGTATTAATAATGCATGTTTTAATGTACTTTTATAATTGAAATAAAATATATAGTTAAAATTTTAATGTGAATAAGTTAAGAAATACAATTCTATGTAAATTGACTTTATCTCAATTTATGGTGTAACATAAATCCTTCTTTATAGAGAAACTTTTCACAAATATTGTTTTAGTGACTACAAACACATGCATGAATCATTTCCCTATTATTAAAAAATTGTTACTTTTGGGAGGCAGAACAAGATGGCAGAATAGAAGGCTCCACCAATCGTCTCCCCAACAAAGACATCAATTTAACAACTATCCAAACAAACAAACAAAAGAACCTTCACAAGAATCAAACATCAGATGAGCACTCACAGTGCCTGGTTTTAACTCAGTATCACTGAAAGAGGCACTGAAAAGGTAGAAGGAACAGTTCTGAATCACCAGCATCACTCCTCTCCTACCCTCAGCAGGAGCATTTCTGAGTGCTGGGGAAGGGAGACCACAGCAATTGTAAGGCGTTCAACTCAGTGTTATCCTGTTATAACAAAAAGGAAAACCACACCAAACTCAACTGACCCCTGGCCATGGAGGGAGCTTTTAAAACTGCCTTAGCCAGAGGGATATGTCTGATCCCAGCTGTCGAAACTTTAGTTACCACAAGCCTTGCCACTGTGGGCTAAAGTGTTCTGGGGCTCCAAATAAACTGGAAAGGCAGTCTAGGCCATAAGCAATGCAAGTTTTAGGTGAGTCCTAGTGATGAACTGGGTCCAGAGCTAGTAGAATGCTGGGGCACGTGACCTACTGAGACACAAGCTGAGGCAATTAAGCTCCAAAAGAGACCCCTTCTTTCCATTCAAGGAGAGAAGAGGGAAGAGTGGAAAGGACTCTGTCTTGCATCTTGGATAGCAGCTCAGTGACAGCAGGGTAGGGCATCTGTCAGAGTTATCAGGTACCTGTTCCAGGCTCTAGCTCCAATACAACATTTCTAGACATCTTGCACCAGAAGATAATCCTTTCTCTTTGCCTTGAAAGGAAAAACTCAGTACTAGTAGCCTTCATTACCTACTAACTGAAGAGCCCTTGGGCATTGAATAACCAGCAGTAATACTCAGGTGGTACATCAAGAAACTTGGGTGAGACTCTGAGGCTTGCTGGCTTCAAGTGAGACTCAGCACATTCCCAACTGTGGTGGCTATGGGGCAAGACTCCTTCAGCTTGAGAAAAGTGGAGGGAAAAGTAAAGGGGACTTTGTCTTGCACCTAGATACCAGCTCAGCCACAGTGGGGTAGAGAACCAACTCGTCTCTTGGGGTTGCTGATTCCAAAACTGGGCTCTTGCACAACATTTCTGGACCTGTCCTTGGCCAGAGGCGAGTCCACTGCCCAGAAGGGTGAGTCTCAGGACTGGCAAGATTCAGCACAAGCTGACTAAAGAGCCCACGGACCTTAAGGTAACATCAGCAGTAGGCTGGCAGTACTCACTGCAGGCCTGTAGTGACAGTTGCCATGGGGTGAGGCATACCTTCCTTTGGAAAGGGGATGAAAGATTGAGAAGGACTGTGTCTTGTGGTTTCAGCTCAGCCACAGTACAATAGAACACCAGAAAGACTTCTAAGTGGTTTTGACTCTAGTTCACGGCTTCCAATAGGCAACTCTGGACCTGCCTGGGGCCTGGGATAACACAGTGCCCTGAATGGAAGGACAGAGGCCTAGCTGGCTTTGCCACCTGCTGACTGTAAAGCCCCATGGTCTTGAGAGAAAACAGGCAATAGCCAGGGGTTACAGCAGGTCTTGGGCAAGAACCAGTGCTGTTCTGGCTTCAGGTCTGACCCAACACAGTATGTCACTCCACCCTACTTCTGGTGGTTCAGAACAGAGAGAGAGAGAGAGAGAGAGAAAGAGAGACCCCATTTGTTTGAAAGAAAAAGAAAAGAAGAAGAGAAGAGGTCAACTCTCTGCATGGTGATCTGGAGAATTCTTTCAGATCTTGTCCAAGACCATCAGGGCAGTATCTCTATGAGTCTCTAAGAACCACAGCATTACTGGGCTTGGGGTCCCCCCCAAAGCAGATACAACTTAGATCACAACATCCAAGTCTTTTTGAATACCTGAAAAGCTTTCCCAAGAAGGACAGGTACAAACAAGAGCAGACTGCAAAGACTACAATAAATACCTAACTCTTCAATGCCCAGACACAGACAATCATCTACAAGTACTAGGACAATCCAGGTAAACATGACCTCACCAAATAAACTAAATCAGGCATGAGAAAACAATCCTGGAAAAACAAAGATGTGTCACCTTTCAGACAGAGAATTCAAAATAGCTTTGTTGAAGAAACTCAAAGAAATTCAAGATAGAGAAGGCATTCAGAATTCTATTAGATAAATTAAAGAAAGAGATTGAAATAATTAAAAGGAATCAAGCAGAAATGAAATTCTGGACCTGAAAAATGCAATGGACATGGTAAAGAACATATCAGAGTCTTTTAATAGCAGAATTGACCAAACAGAAGAAACAATTAATGAGCCTGAAGCCAAGCTATTGAAAAATACATGGTCAGAGGAGACAAAAGAAAAAAAGAATTAAAAAGAATGAAGCGTGCCTGCCGAATCTAGAAAATAGCCTCAAAAGAGCAAATCTAAGTGTTAATTGGCCTTAAAGAGGGAACAGAGAAAGAGATAGGAGTAGAAAGTTTATTCAAAAGGATAATATCAGAAAACTTCACAAACCTAGAGTAAGAGAGCAATATCCAAGTACGAGAAGGTTATACAACACCAAGCAGATTTAACACAAAGAAGACAATCTCAAGGCCATTAATAATCAAACTCCCAAAGATCAAGGATAAAGAAAAGATGCTAAAATCAACAAAAGAAAGGAAATAAATAATAACACACAATGGAGTTCCAATACATCTGGCAGCAGAATTTCCAGTGGAAACCTTACAGGCCAAGAGAGAATGTCATGACATATTTAAACTGCTAAAGGAAAAAAATCTTTTATCCTAGAATAGTATATACAGTGAAAATATCCTTTAAACATAAAGGAGACATAAAGACTTTCCCAGACAAACAATAGCTGAGTTATTTCATCAACACGAGACCTGTCCTAGAATAGATGCTAAAGCAAGTACTTTAGTCAGAAAGAAAAGAACATTAATGAGGAATAAGCAACACCAAAGATACAAAACTCACAGGTAATGGTAAGAACACAGAAAAACAGAATACTGTGACACTGTAACTGTGGTGTGTAAACTACTCTGAAGCAGAAAGACTAAACCATGAAACAATCAAAAATAATAACTACAACAACTTTTCTGGACATAGTACAATAAGATATAAATGGAAATAATAAAAAGTTAAAGCAGGGACATAGTTAAGATGTAGAGTTTTTATTTCATTTATTTTTGCTTGTTAGTTGGTTTATGCAAACAGTGTTAAGTTGTTATCAGCTTAAGATAATGTGTTATAAAGTAATACTTGCAAGCCTCATTGTAACCTCAAACCAAAAAACATACAAGGGATACACAAAAAATGAAAGGCAAAAAACTAAATCATATCACCAGACAAAATCTCCTTCAATAAAAGGAAGACAGGAGGGAAAGAAAAAAGGAAGAGAAGATCACAAAACAACCAGAAAACAAATAATAAAACGGCAGGAGTAAGTCCTTAGTCATCAATAATACCACTGAACATAAATGGACGAAACTCTCCAATCAAAAGACATAGACTAACTAAACAAGGTGGGGCGGGTGGGCGGTGGTGGGAAGAGTCACTGATCTGTTGCCTATAAGAAACACACTTCACCTATAAAGGCACTCATAGACTGATAATAAAGGTATAAAGGTATTCCATGCCAAGAGAAACCAAAAAAGAGTAGGAGTAGCTATATTTATTTCAGATAAAATAGATTTCAAGGCAAATAGTACCAAAGGAGAAAAAGAAGGTCACTATATAATAATGAAGTGGTCAATTCAGCAAGAGGATATAACAATTTTTAAAATATAGAGTTAGACTCCAATACAATAATAGCTGGAGATTTCAACATCCCACTTTTAGCACTAAACCGATGTTCCAGACAAAAAATTAACAAAGCAACTTCAAACTTAATCTACACTCTAGACAAAATGGAGGTAACAGATATTTACAGAACATTTACTCCAGTGATTGCAGAATACACATTATTTTCCTCAGAGCATGGATCATTCTCAAGGATAGATCATATGTTAGATCACAAAACAGTTTAAAATATTCAAAAAACTGAAATAATATCTAGCATCTTCTCTGACCAAAACTGAATAAAACTAGAAATCAATAACAAGAAGAATTCTGAAAACTATACAAATATATGAAAATTAAACAATATGCTCCAGAATGATGAGTGGGTTAGTGAAGAAATTGAGAAGGAAATTGGAAATTTTCCTGAAACAAATGACAATGGAAACTCAGTATATGAAAACCTATGGAATACAGCCAAAGCAGTACTAAGAGGGAAGTTTATAGCCATAAGTGACTCCATCAAAAAAGAAGAAAAGCTTCAAATAAACAACCTAATGATACATCTTAAAAATTAGGAAAACAAGAGCAACCCAAACTCAAAATTAGTAAAGAGAAAATATCCAAATAAATCAAATCGGACACATAAAAGGAGACTGTACAACTGATACAGCAGACATTCAAAGGATCATTAGTGGCTACTATGAGCAACTGCAAGCCAATAAATTAGAAAAATCTAGAATAAATGGACAAATTCCTAGAGACATAAAATGTATCACGATTGAACCAGGAAGATATTCAAAACATGAACAAATCAATAACAAGTGACAAGATCAAAGCTGTAATAAAGCCTCACAGTAAAGAAAACCCTGGGACCTGATGGCTTCACTGCTCAATTCTACCAAACATTTAGAGAATTAATACCAATACTACCCAAAGTATTCCAAAAAATAGAGGAGGAGAGAATACTTCCAAACTCATTCTATGAGGCCAGTATTACCTTGACTCTAAAACCAGATAAAGGCACATCTGAAAAAAAGAAAACTATAAGCCAATATCACTAATGAATACTGATGCAAAAATCCTCAACACAGTACTAGCGAACTGCATTCAACAATACATTAAAAATATCATTCATCATGAATCCCAAGTGGGATTTTATCTCTGGGATGAAAGAATGATTCAACATAGGCAAATCAATCAGTGTGCTGCATCATACAAACAGATCAAAGGATTAAAAACCATACGATCATTTCAATAGATGCTAAAAAAGCATTTGATAAAATTCAACATCTTTCATGATAAAAACCATAAAAAATGAGTATAGAAGAAACATACTTCTACATAATAAAAACCATATATGACAGACCCACAGCTACTATCATACTAAATGAAGAAAGACTGAAAGCCTTTCCTTTGAAATCTGGAACACAAGGATGCACACTTTCACCACTGCTATTCACTCTCTCTTGCTCCTGCTCACACCATGTGAGATGCCTCACTCCCCCTTTGCCTACTGCCATGACTAGAGGTTCCTGAAGCCTCCCCAGAAGCAGAAACCACTATGCTTCCTGTACAGCCTGCAGAACCGTGAGCCAGTTAAACCTCATTTCTTTATAATTTACCCAGTTTCAGGTATCTTTTTATATCAATGTGAGAATGGACTAATGCACTTGTGATCCCGGAAAACAAGCAAAAGTTAAAAGAAATTATCCCACACCTTTGTGTTCCAGAAACAGCTTATTGCAAGGAACCCTTCCCCATATAACTTAGATGAGATGCAGGACACTTCCCTTGTGTCCCTATGACAAGGCCAGGCCTAGACCTCCAAAATGCCATTATTTCCTTCATAAATGATTAGCTGAACTGTTTGGGCCACTGACCAAACTGGACAAAATATTTGCTACATCGACTTAATCAAACTTTAGTTAAGCTTTACGCCTTCCCGTAGGCCCCTAAACTCTAATCCATATTCAGCCTCAGCAGCCTCAACCCTTCATTTACATCCTCTCCTAATAACAGGCTGACTATGTTTTAAAGGGTACCTCATTCTCTGAGCTCCTATCCCTAATCGCACCACCCTCATTTGTCCTACTTTCCTACACCCAATTCTTTCTAGTCTTGCTTACTATTCCCTAAAACAAAACAAAACACTTCACTGCTTACCCTTTGAGACACTTGCTGATCTTATAGTTGGCATATTTTCCTTATTGCAATTGCCCCCCTCCCCTCGTTGCAAACATCCTTTCCAATAAAGTCTCTCGTACCTAAGTCCAGATTTGTTTTTTTATTTGACAGTCTACTCAATCATATTTGGAAAGATTTCTGGCAACTAACCCCAATCTATTTCACTGAACTAATTTTCAAATTTTCCTTTCAAAATATCCACTGAAAAGGAGCTAGCCTTCTCATTCTCTCACACTAATGAGTGCTTTCATTTCACTATAAAAACTGTTCCCTCAAATGAATTGCAAAAGATGTCCTAGAAACGTGAATAAATCTAGTTTTTTCAAAATAATGGTGTTATCTTTGCTTCTCTAGTATCAAGTACATATCTATAGTTAATATATGTTGAATTACAAATCAAATGAGCAAATCAAGTTATGAAATCATATACACTTTATTGATTTACAGACACATATATTAGCTCCCAACTTTATTTAAAGTGTATGTCAATTTTAAAAATAATCTTTAATAATTTTGAAGATATTTTTAGAGTAAGGAAATTCTCTAAGGTTATCCAGTCATCTGAGTAACAAAACTATACTTTTCCTTTATTACACATATCACACAATATTATGAACAAACTATACAAATAAAAACAATGAATAATTTCATCAAAGAAAACACTGTAAACAAGCTAATAATGACATCAAAGATCATTCTCTGACAGACAGTTCTACTAAACAAAAGAAATCTGTTAAAATAATATATATCCTTAAAGCAATAAAAATTAGTGAACAATTTGATTCAGTCATACATATTTTCAGACAAAAGTTTCATTGAAGTCAAGCAAACGCTGTTGATTGTTCTGATACCAAATATGAAAGATAAATGGACTCTAGTAAGGAAATAGAGACATTTTCTTTATTTAAGCTTTTTATGGAAACAAATCCTAAGAACAGAATGAAATTATGTTAGCATCTAATTCAATTCATCACTTAATCAGACATGTCTTTTATATCATCTATGACAGGCAGCCTCTGAGAAATTCATAAAGCGAGCACTAGACCATCTGTGACAGAATCTTCATTTGATTGACTTAATCATTTATTTTTTCATATCTTTTAAAATGTTTATTTAGTATCTCATATGTCAATATGCCTAAAAACAAAGGGAAAGATATTTGTAAATGAGGAAAAAAATGAGTTATCGATAAGTGAACCACATGGAAAATATTAGTAGGAAATATAATAGCTGAGATTTTTTTAAAGCAATGATAAATGGCCTATATTGGAGAACTGTGTGTACAGCTTACGGATGTATTACTGAGTTCAAAGATAAAGTGGAGAAATTCTCCTAGATGACTACAAAAAAGTAAATAAATATACTAAATAAATACCAAGATATATTAAATAAAACTGCCAAAATCTTGATACTGAGATTACCATAGAGAAAAACATAAAGAGGAGGGTATAACTGATAAAATTATGGAGAGAAAGTTCAGAGAATTAAAAAAGATTATGAAAAATCTCAAACTGTAAGTTTCAGACCTAGGCATGTTATCATAAAATTAAGAATATTACAGGCAGAGAGAAAATATGCAACACTTCCAGGCAGAAAGAGAAGGTTGCCTCAATAGCAACAAGAACTCTCTACTCTTTGTTCCAGTTTAATTCCAGGTCTTTCCAACCCCTGAGATTTAGCATTATTATCCTCCTAACTCCAATTCTTGAAAATAATGAGACTTCTCTTTTAACTTTTGCCACAAGCTTTTTTTTTTTCAACTGTGTCATGTCCCCAGACCCTTGTCAGTCTTGCTTGATTCATACTTCTAAGGGAAACCTGACCAGTCTAATTGATGGATGAATATTGAGGGTAACAGAAAGAAAATTCAAGGACAGCTGCTACTTTTTTTTTTCTTCTTAACTGAGTGAATCATAGTGCCATTTATTATGAAAGAGACACTTGGGGAAAGCAAAGTTTGAAAGGCAGAATTCAAGACTTTTGTTTTGAAGCCTTTCCTTATTAGTATAGCGGTGAGTATCCCTACCTGTCAAGACTTCTGTTTTGGATATGTTAGTTCTGAGATACCTACCAGACAGCAAAGATGAGATGCTGAGCTAGTAGTTGGATACATGAGTCATGATCTGGTAGGTAGGGTAGGAATAGAGACATGACTTATAAAGTAACCAGCTCACACATTATGAGATTAGTTAAGAAGTATATGTAAATAGATAAATGATAATTGAGCCTAAAAGCATGCCAAATTTATGAATGAGGCAGAATAAGAAGAGCAAGCTAGAGATAGATAAAAAACAGCCATCACCTGTAATCTCAGCACTTTGGGAGGCCGAGGCAGGCGGATCACGAGGTCAGGAGATCGAGACCATCCTGGTTAACATGGTGAAACCCCGTCTCTACTGAAAATACAAAAAAAAAAAAAAAAAAAATTAGCTGGGCATGGTGGCAGGTGCCTGTAGTCCCAGCTACTCGGGAGACTGAGGCAGGAGAGTGGTGTGAAACTGGGAGGCGGAGCTTGCAGTGAGCTGAGATTGCACCACTGCACTCCAGCCTGGGTGACAGAGCAAGACTCCGGGGGGGGAAAAAAAAACCAGCCACTGAGGTCAAATAAAAACCACAAAGTGTGCCCTTCTGGTATCCAAATGAAGTATGTTTTTATTAAGAGAAAACATGATTAAATGATATTGAGAGCTCTACAAAAAGAAAGCCTGAAAAATGGCCATGAGTTGCAGAACATGGAGATAACTGGTGACCTTTGCATTGCACTTTCAGAAGACAGGGACTAAAATAGCCTGACTGGGGAGAAGGGTAGAACAAAATGGCAAAATAGAAGGCTCTCTCAATTGTCCCCCCAGTGAGGACACCAAGTTAACAACTATCTACACACACACACACACACACATATACACACACACACACCTTCATAAGAGCCAAAAATCAGGTAAGCACTCACACTACCTGGTTTTACCTTCATACCACGGAAAGAGGCACTGGAAAAACAGTCTTGAATCTCAGACCCCACCCCTCCGCCATCCCTCAGTAGAGGCAACCCTGCTCAGAGAGGCAGCCTGGTGTTTCTGAGAGCATTGCTGTGCACTGGGGAGAGTAAGAGCTAGCAATTCTGAGGCATTGAACTCAGTGCTGCCCTTGTTAATAGCAGAAAGCAAAACCAGGCCAAACTCAGGTGACGCTCGCCCAAGGAGGGAGAATTTAAACAAGCCCCACACAAAGGAGAATTGCCAATCCCAGTGTTTGGAACTTCAGTTCCCCCAAGCCTTGCCATCATGAGCTAAAGTGCTCTGGGCCCAGAGTCAGTGTGGGCTGAGGGAGAGAGGGGGTCATGACCTACTGAGACACCAGCCAGGACTGCTAGGGGACTGCTGGCATCACCTTTCCACTAACCTCAGGCTGCATAGTTTGTGGCTGCAAAGGAGACCCCTTCCTTCTGCTTGAGGATCAGAGAGGGAAGAGTGGGGAGGACTCTGTCTTGCCTCTTGGATACCAGCTCAGCCAGGGCAGGATAGGGCACCAGTCAGTCTTACAGCCCCTGTTCAGACCTTAGCTTCCTGATGACATTTCTAGAAACACCATGTACCAGAAAGGAACCTACTGCCTTGAAGGGAAGAACTCAGTCATGGCAAGATTTGTAACATGCCCTTAACAAAAGAATAACCAGAATAATAACCAGAAGCAATACCCAGGTACTACATTAAGAACATTGAGTGAGACTCTGAGACTTACTGGCTTCAGGTGAGACTCAGCACATTTCCAGCTGTGGTGGCTACAGGGTGAGACTCCTTCTGCTTGAGAGAAGTGGAGGAAAAAGTAAAGGGGACATTGTCTTGCACCTTAGGTACCAGCTCAGCCACAGGGTGGTAGAGCATGAAGTGGGCTCTGAGGTCTCTGATTCTAGGACTTGACTCTTGGATGGCATTTCTGGACCTTCTCTGGGGAAGAGAGGAAGCCCACTGCCATGACGGTTGAGTCTCAGGCTTGACAACATTCACTAGAAGCTGATTAAATAGCCATTAGGCCTTAGGGAACAATGGCAGTAGCCTGGCAGTACTCCCCATAGGCCTGAAGTGGCAGTGGCCACATGGTGAGGCTCTTCTGCCTTTGGAAAGGGGAGGCAAAAATGGGAGGACTGCATCTCCTTATTTGAGTTGCCAGCTTAACCACAGTACAATAGAACAACAAGTGGACTTCTAAGGTTTCTGACTCTAGTCCCTGGCTCCCAGGTGGCACCTCTGAACCGATCTAGGTCCTGGGGCAACTCACTGCCCTAAAGGAAAGAACACAGGCCTGGCTGGCATTGCTACCTGCTGATTGTAGAGCCTCAGAGTTTTGAGCAAAAATAGGCAGGAGCCAGGGAATGGTTTACAGCAGGCCTTAGGTGAGAACCAGTGCTGTGCTGGCTTCAGGTCTGACCCAGTGCAAGCTATGGGTGGTGCCTACAGGGGTGATGTGCCACTCTACCCTCTGCTCCAGGTGGCTCAGAACAGACAGAGGGACTTTGTTTGAGAGAAAGTAAGGGAAGAGAACAATAATCTCTGCCTGGTAATCCAGAGAATTCTTTGGGATCTTGACCTAGACCATCAATATAGTACCTCTATGAGTCTATAAGAACCACAGCATTAGGGAACTTGAGGTCCCCCATAAGGAAGATACAGCTTAAATCACAACAACTAAGTCATTTTGAATATCTGGAAAGCCTGCCCAAGAAGGATGCATACAAACAAGCTCAGATTGTGGAGACTACAATAAATACCTAACTCTTCAATGGCCAGACACATTAACATCTACAAGTATCAAGATGATCCAGGAAAAGATGACCTCACCAAATGAACTAAATAAGACATCAGGGAACAATCCTGGAGAAACAGAGATATGTGACCTTTGAATTCAGACAGAGAATTCACAATATCTGAATGAAAAAAACTTAAAGACATTCAAGATAACACAGAGAAGGAATTCAAAATTCTATCAGATAAATTTAAAAAAGACATTGAAATAATTAAAAAGAATCAAGCAGAAATTCTGGAGCTGAAAAATGCAAATGTCATACCAAAGAATGCATCAGAGTCTTTTAAAAGAAGAATTGATAAAGCAGAGGAAAGAATTAGTGGGCTTGAAGACAGGCTATTTGGAAGCACACAGTCAGAGGAGAAAAACGAAGAAAAAAAAATAAAAACAATGAAGTGCATGGACAGCATCTAGAAAGCCGCAACAGGGCAAATCTAAGAGTTATTAGCCTTAAAGAGAAGGTAGAGAAAAAGATAGGAGTAGAAAGGGATAATAACAGCGAACTTCCTAAACCTAGAGAAATATATCAATACCCAAGTAAAAGAAGGTTATAGAACACCAAGGAGATCTAATCCAAAGAAGACTCCTAAGGCATTTAATCAAACTCCCAAAGGTCAAGGATAAAGAAAGGGTGCTAAAAGCAGCAAGAGAAAAGAAACAAATAACAGAAAATTGAGTTCCAATACATCTGACAGTAGACTTTTCAGTGGGAACTTTACAGGCCAGGAGAGCATGGCATGACATAATTAAAGTGCTGAAGGCAAAAATATTTTTTCCTAGAATGTATATGGCAAAAATATCTTTCAAATTTGAAGGAGAAATAAACCTTTTACCAGACAAACAAAAGCTGAGGGATTTCAGCAACACCAGACCTTTCCCACAAGAAATGCTAAAGGGAATACTTAAATCAGAAAGAAAAGTATGTTAATGAGCAATAAGAAATGTTAATGAAGATACAAAACTCACTGAATAGTGAGAATACAGAAAAACAGAGAATATTACAACACTGTAATCACAGTTTATGAACTACTCTTAAGTACAAAAACTAAACAATGATCCAATCAAAAATAATAACTAAAACAACTTTTCAAGAAAAATGGAACAATAAGATATAAGTAGTAACAAAAAAGTTAAAAGAAAACGGGTATGAAGTTATGGCATCAAGTCTTTATAAGTTTTAATTCCTTGTTTGTTTGTTTATGAAAATGATGTTAAGTTGTTATCAGCTTAAAATGATGGGTTATAAGATGGTATTTGCAAGCTTCATGGTAACCTCAAAGCAAAAAAATATATAATGAATATACAAAAAATAAAAAACAAGAAACTAAATCATATCACCAGACAAAATCATCTTCAATAAAAGGAAAACAGGAAGAAACTGTAAGAAAAGACAAAGAAGTTCACTATATAATAATGAAGAGGTTAATTCAGCAAAAGGATATAACAATTTTAAATATATATGCACCCAACACTGGAGCACCCAGATATATGAAGCAAATATTATTAGACCTAAAGAGATAGACTCCAATCCAATAATAGCGGGAGACTTCAACGCCCCACTATAAGCACTGGAAATATCTTCCAGATGGAAAACAAAGAAAATTCAAATTTAATCTGCACTCTCGGCCAAATGGAGCTAATAGGTATTTACAGAGCATTTCATCAAATTGCTGCAGAATACACATTCTGTTCTGCAGCACATGAAACATTCTTAAGGATAGACCATATGTTAGGTCACAAAACAAGTTTTAAAACATTCAAAAAATTGAAATAATATCAAGCATCTCTTCAGACCACAGTGGAATAAAAGTAGAAATCAATAAGAGAAAATTTGGAAACTATATAAAGACATAAAAATTACACAATATGCTCCTG
The DNA here is from genome assembly GCF_000001405.40 of Homo sapiens. Classification (NCBI taxonomy): domain Eukaryota; kingdom Metazoa; phylum Chordata; class Mammalia; order Primates; family Hominidae; genus Homo; species Homo sapiens. Next base: position 188,462,195 of record NC_000002.12, on the reverse strand, counting down.
AATGACCAATGAGTCAATGAGGAAACTAAGCAGAAAGTTGAAAAATTTATTGAAACAAATGATAATGAAAACATAACATACTGAAGCACACTGGATACAGCAAAAGCAGTACGAAGAGGGAAGTTTATAGCTGTAAGTGACTCCAACAAAAAAGAAGAAAAACTTCAAATAAATAATGTAATCATGCATCTTAAAGAACTAGAAAAACAAGAACAAACCAAAACCCAAACCAACAGAGGAGAAATAATAAAGATCAAGCAGAAATAAATAAAATTAAAATGAAGAAAACACTATAAAAAAGCAATGAAAGACTATTTTTTTGAAAAGTTAAATAAAATTGACAAACCTTCACCCAGACTAAGAAAAAACAGAGACATTGCAAATAAAAGCAGAGATGAAAAAGAAAATTTTACAACTGCTATCCCAGAAATTCAAAGAATCATTAGTGGCTACTATGAGCTACTATGTCTAGAAGAAATGGACAAATTCCTAGACACATACAACCTACCAAGATTGAACCAGGAAGAAATTCAAAACCTGAATAGAGCAATAATAAGTAACAAGATTAAAGCCATAATTAAAAGGTTCCCAGGGCCAGTCACGGTGGTTCAGCCTATAATCCCAGCACTTTGGGAGGCTAAGGTGGGTGGATCACCTGAGGTCGGGAGTTTGAGTCCAGCCTGACCCATCTCTACTAAAAATACAAAACTAGCTGGGAATGGTGGTGCATGCCTGTAATCTCAGCTACTCGGGAGGCTGAGGTAGGAGAATTGCTTGAGTTTAGGAGGCGGAGGTTGCAGTGAGCTGAGATCATGCCATTGCACTCCAGCCTGGGCAACAAGAGCAAAACTCTGCCTCAAAAAAAAAAAAAAAAAAAGCTTACCAGTAAAATGAAGCCCAGGACCCAATGGCTTCACTGTTGAATTCTACCAAACATTTAAAGAAGAGCTAATACCAATCCTACTCAAACTATTTAAACTATTCGAAAAACAGAGGTGGAGGGAATACTTCCAAATTCATTTTATGAGGCCAGGATTATCCTGATAACAAAACCAGACAAAGACACATCATAAATAAATAAATACATAAATAGAAAATAAAAAACTATAGGCCAATATCACTGAAGAATATTGATGCAAAAATCCTCTACAAAGTGGTAGCAAACCAAATTCAACAATACATTTAAAAGATTATTCATCATGACCAAGTGGGATTTACCCTTAGGATGCAATAATGGTTTAACATATGCAAATAAATCAATGTGTTACATCATAAAAACAGACTGAAGGATAAAAACCATACAATCATTGCAATTGATGCTGAAAATTCAACATCCCCTCACGATAAAGACCCTCAAAAACTGGGTATAGAAAGAACATACCTCAACATAATTAAAACCATATATGACAGACCCACAGCTAGTGTCATACTGAACGGAGACAAACTGAAAGCCTTACCCCTGAAATCTGAACACAACAAGGATGCACACTTTCACCACTGTTATTCTACACAGTACTGGAAGTCCTAGCTGGAGAAATCAGACAAGAGAAAGAAATAAAGGGCAGCCAAATTGGAAAGGAAGAAGCCAAACTATTTTTATTTGCAGATGAAAGGATATTATATTTGGAAAAACCTAAACACTCCACCAAAACACAAAAATAACTATTAGAACTCATAAACAAATTCAGTAAAATTGTAGAACATAAAAATCAACCTACAAAATTCTACAGGATTTTTAGATGCCAACAGTAAACAATCTAAAAAAAAAAAAAGAATTCCCATTTACAATAGCCACAAATAAAATTAAATACCTAGGAATTAACTTAACCAAAGAAGTGAAAGATCCCTATAATTAAAACTATAAAATGCGAATGAGAAAAGCTAAAGAGAAGACCAGAAAATGCAAAGATATTCCATGTTCGTGGGTTGGAAGAATCAATATTGTTAAAATGTACATACTACCCTAAAGCAATCTACAGATTCAATGAAATCCCTATCAAAATACCAACGACATTCTTCAAAGAAATAGAAAACAACTATCCTAAAATTTGTATGAAACCATAAAAGACCCACAGTAGCCAAAGCTATCCTAAGCAAAAAGAACAAAAATGGAGGAATCATATTACCTGACTTCAAATTGTACTACAATGCTATAGCAAACAAAACAGCATAGTACTGTCATAAAAACAGACACATAGACCAATGAAACACAATAGAGAATTCAGAAATAAATCCACGCACCTACAGTAAACACACTTTCTATAAAGGCGCCAAAAACATACACTGGGAAAAAGACAGTTTCTTCAATAAATGATGCTGGGAAAACTGAACATCCATATGCAAAAGAATGAAACTAGACCCCATCTCTTGCCATATACAAACATCAAATCAATATAGGCAAAGACTTAAATCTAAGACTTCAAATTATGAAACTACTATAAGAAAACATTAGGGAAAACATCCAGGACATTGATCTGGGCAAAAATTTCTTTAGTAATAACCCACAAGTACAGGCAACCCAAGCAAAATGGACAAATGGTATCTCATTAAGTTGAAAAGCATTTACACAGCAAAGGAAACAATCAATGGGATAAAAAATTTGCAAACTACTCACTTGACAAGGGATTAATAACCAGAATATATAAGGAGGTCAAACAACTCTGCAGGAAAAAATCTAATAATCTGATTAAAATATGGGCAAAAATTTGAATAGCTATTTCTCAAAAGGAGACACAAAATGATAAATAGGCATATGAAAAGGATGTATTTTCTGTAGCCTCAGAAAGTACATTCTTTCCCTCCCATTAAAATGGCTTATATCCAAAAGACAGGCAATAAAAAATGCTAGCGAGAATGTGGAGAAAAGGAAATCCTCATACACTGTTGGTGGAAGTGTAAATTAATACAACCACTATGGAGAACAGTTTGGAAGTTCCTCAAAATACTAAAAATAGAGCTACCATATGTTCCAGCAATCCCACTGCTATGTATATACTGAAAAGAAAGGAAATCAGTATGTCAAAGCGATAACTGCACTTTCATGTTTGTTGCAGCTCTGTTCACAATAGGCAAGAACTGGAAGCAACCTAAGTGTGTATCAACAGGTGAATGGACAAAAAGAAATGTGGCAGTTATACACAACGGAGTACTATTCAGCTGTAAAAAGAATGAGATACAGTCATTTGCAACAAATGGATGGAAATGGAAGTCATTATGTTCAGTGAAATAGGCCAGGCACAGAAAGACAGACACCCCATGATCTTACTTATTTGTGAGATCTAAAAATCAAAACAATTTAACCTATGGAGGTAGAGAGTAGAATCATGGGTATCAGATATGGGAAGCAGAGTGTAGGGATGGGGGTGGAGTGCTGTGAGGGAGATGGAGAGAGTTAACAGGTACAAAAAAAAATTAGAATGAATGAATAAGACCTACCATTTGATAGCACAAAAAGATGTCTATAGTCAAAAGTAATTTAAGTTAATTTTGTTAAATAGCTAAGAGTATAATAAGATTGTTTCTAACACTAAGAATAAATGCTTGAAGGGATGGATAGCCTATTTTCCATAATGTAATTATTATGCATTGCATGTCTGTATTAAAACACTTCATGTACCCCATAAATATATACACTTACTATGTACCCACAAAAAATAAAAATAAAAATAAAATAGCCTGACTGGTGTGGGTAGACTTTTGCATTGTATTTTCAGAGGATAGGGGGCTAGAAGAGCCTGACTGGTTGAAAGAAATGAAGAAAGGAAGTAGAGAAACTCAAGGAATTTTGCTTTAAATGGAAACAGAGAAATAAGGTAGGAAATGGAGGGTGAGATAGACTAAGACTAGACATTTTTGGGGGAGCTATTGAATATGTATTTATGCTGATTGGAAAATTATGTTAACAGGAGAAAACTGGTGATACAGAAAAGAGAGAGCATAAATGCAAGAAGAAGTTCTTTGAGAAAGTATGAGGGAATATGGTCAAAGAGAAGGCCCTGTCCTTAAATGAACAGAAGCAATTCATTCAGCATAAGAGAAGGGAAGGCTGACTCATGGAAACATACTAAAATACTTAATAGTTTGGTAGATTTGGTGATGGGAAAGTGTAGAATTTCTCTTCTAATTGCATGTATTTTCTCAGTTGAATAAGGAGTAGGTATTAGTTCTGAGTATGATGATGGGGGTATAAGGATTCAAGAACAGAAAAAGAGGGTTGTTTAGGCAGAAAAGAGCCATCTCAAATAGAAGAGTGAATGGAAGATATAAGGAGGTTAAATTTCTGTACAATTATAATGACCTTATGATGACTGCAATCCAAATGTAAGATAAGTATAACTAATAAACATGGTTGTATGAGGGAATGCATGTGTGGGGGGTTTGTTCCAGCCATATTGTTTGCTTAAGTAGAAGAATGCATAGTCATTAACAGGGGTTGGGATTTTTCCACACAAGTAAGAAAGAAAAAAGGGCAAAGACGTCTTGATAAATTATATCCATATATTGAAACAAAATTTACCTTTGAAACTGATCCAGCCTTAAAAACTACATCAGTTATGTTCCTCTTCTTATCATATCCCTTTATTGTACTGTATTAGTCCATTTCATGCTGCTTATAAAGAAATACCCAAGACTGGGCAATTTACAAGAGAAAGAGGTTTAACTGGATTCACAGTTCCACGTGGCTGGGGAGGCCTCACAATCATGGCAACAGGAGCAAGTCACATCCTACGTGGATGGCAACAGGCAAAGAGAACTTACCATTTTTAAAACCATCAGATCTTGTGAGACTCATTCACTATCATGAGAACAGCACAGAAAAGAGCCACCCCCATAATTCAATCACCTCCCAACAGGTTCTTCCCACAACATGTGGGAATTGTGGGAGTTACAATTCAAGCTGATATTTGGGTGGGGAAACAGCCAAACCATATCATTTGGCACCTGGCCACTCCCAAATTTCATGTCCTCACATTTCAAAACCAATCATGCCTTACTAACAGTCCCTCAAAGTCTTAACTAATTTCAGCATTAACTCAAAAGTCCACAGTCCAAAGTCGCATCTGAGATAAGGCAAGTCCCTTCTGCCTATAAGCCTGTAAAATCAAAAGCAAGCTAGTTACTTCCTAGATACAATGAAGGTACAGGTATTGGGTACATGCAGCCATTCCAAATGGGAGAAACTGACCAAAACCAAGGGACTACAGGCCCCATGCAAGTCCAAAATCCAGTGGGGGATTCAAATCTTAAACCTCCAAAATGATCTGTTTTGACTCCATGTCTCACATCCAAGTCATACTGATCCAGCAAATCAGTTCCCATAGTCTTGGGCAGCTCCACGTCTGTACCCTGTGGCTCTGCAGGGTACAGCCTCCCTCCCATCTGCTTTCATGAGTTGGCAATGAGTGTCTGTGGCTTTTCCAGGTGCACGGTACAAGCTCTCAGCAGATATATCATTCTGGGGTCTGGAGGACAGTGGCACTCTTCTCACAGCTCCACTAGGTGGTGCCCCAGTAGGGACTCTGTGTGGGAACTCTCACCCCACATTTCCCTTCCTCGCTGTCCTAGCAAAGGTTATCCATGATGACCCCACCCCTGCAGCAAACTTTTGCCTGGGCATCCAGGCATTCCTATACATCTTCTAAAAATCTAGGCAGAGATTCCCAAACTTGAATTCTTGACTTCTGTGCACCCACAGGCTCAACACCATGTGGAAGCTGCCAAGGCCTTAAGTTTGCACCCTCTGAAGCCACAGTCCAAGCTCTACATTCGTCCATTTCAGCGATGGCGGAGCGGCTGGGATGGAAGGCACCAAGTTCCTAGGCTGCACACAGCACGGGGACCTCAGGCCCAGCCCAGAAAACCGATTTTTCTTCCTAGGCCTTCCGGCACGTGATGGGAGAGGCTGTTGCAAAGGTCTCTGACATGCCCTGGAGACATTTTCCCCATTGTCTTGGTGATTAACATTCTTATGCAAATTACTTATGCAAATTACTGCAGCTAGCTTGAATTTCTCCTCAGAAAATGGGATTTTCTTTTCTATTGCCTTGTCAGGCTGCAAATTTTCCAAACGTTTAAGCTCTATTTCCCATTTGAAACTGAATGCCTTTAACAGCACCCAAGTTACCTCTTGAATGCTTTGCTGTTTAGAAATTTCTTCCACCAGATACCCTAAATCATCTCTCTCAAGTTCAAAGTTCCACAAATCTCTAGGGCAGGAGCAAAATGCCACCAGTCTCTTTGCTAAAACATAATAAGAGTCACCTTTGTTCCAGTTCCTAACAAGTTCCTCCTCTTCACCTGAGACCAACTCAGCCTGGACTTTATTGTCCATATGGCTATCAGCATTTTGGTCAAAGCCATTCAACAAGTGTCTAGGAAGTTCCAAACTTTCCCACATTTTCCTGTCTTCTTCTGAGCCCTCCAAACTGTTCCAACCTCTGCCTGTTACCCAGTTCCAAATTCGCTTCCACATTTTCAGTTATCTTTTCAGTTTCAGTTATCTTTTCAGCAGTGCCCCACTCTACTGGTACCAATTTACTGTATTAGTCCTTTTTCTCACTGCTGATAACCTGAAATTGGGCAATTTACAAAAGAAAGAGGTTTAACTGGACTCACAGTTCCACATGGCTGGGGAGGCCTCAAAATCATGGCAGAAGGCAAGGAGGAACAAGTCACATCCTGTGTGGATGGCAGCAGGCAAACAGAGCTTGTTCAGGGAAACTCCCATTTTTAAACCCATCAGATCTCCAGTTTCATTCACTATCATGAGAACAGCTCAGGAAAGTCCTGCCCCCATAATTCCCATGACACATGGGAATTGTGGGAGTTACAACTCAAGATGAGATTTGGGTGGGGACACAGCCACACCACATCATGTACTCAACATGAATATTCACTTACAATTTACTGTTTTGGGAATATTTTTAAATTATCATAGGGTTGAAACTTGTTCACAAATTAATGACCAAAGGGGAAATATGCACCTAGGTATACTAATACATTTTGTCTGTCATGTGAATATATTTATATCTAAGAACATTTTATTTTATTTTATTTTATTTTTGAAGACAGGATCTCACTCTGTCTCCAAGGCTGGAGTACAGTGGCATGATCATAACTCACTGCAACCTCAAACTCCTAGGCTTAAGTGATCCAACTGGCTTACCCTCCTGAGTAGCTGGGACTACAGGAGCATACCCTCATACCTGGTTAATTTTGTTTTTATTTTTATTTTTGTACAGATGGGGGTCTCACTATGTTTCCCAGGCCGGATTGGAACTCAGCTTTAAGTAATCCCTCCCATGTCCGCCTCCCAAAGCGCTGCAATTATAGGCATGAAACTCCATGCCCAGCCGAAGGTTTTCTTAAAGTTTCTTCTGACATAGATAAGAGGTAGAAGAGAAAGATACACTTTAGTGTCCCTATGCCTAATGTGGATTTCGTCACAACTAAGGTCAGTGACTAAAATTACTGATCCTCTTTATTCATTTGTACCAGCAGTCTTCAGTTTTGGATTTCCTCATCCTTTTCACCAGTAAGTCCTCTTATCCAATTTGAATTAGACCCTTTTGATCCTGATCTACTGACAGAGGCAGGAGGCAGACAAATGCCTAGGCAGATAGAGGTGGTTCCCTGGTGAAACCCCACCTTCAAGTCAAAGGCTGTCCTGGGTAAATCCTTGGACCAGATTGAGAACCTGTCTTCCTGTCTGGCATGCTTTCCTCTGATTGATCCCCACTGTTCACCTATTTTACATATACCTATCCTTCCCTAATTAGTTTTTTACTGTGTCATGCCCACCTTTGAGTGGTGCCTTTGTTTTAACCTTTTTGCATACTCACAAACTAATCATCATGCCCTCCCCATTCTGTGCCTATAAAAACCCCAGACTAAGCCATACTGGGGGAGAAACCACCAGACTGCAGGATTGGGGGAACACTCCCACATCCCCTCTCTGCTGAGAGCAGTCCCATCACTCAATAAAATTATTCTCTGCCATCCTCACCGTTGAAATTGTCAGCATATCCTTAGTCTTCTTGGACATAGGACAAGAGCTTGGGAGCAGCCAAACAGGGGTACAAGCTATAACACAGGCAGGCTGAGTGGGCAGGGTACCTCCAGCGGCAGGCCTGGGCCTGAGCAAGGCTCAGGCAGCAGGGGGGCCTTGCCAGCCATACGGGTCCCCAGGTGGCAAAGTGGCTGAGAAAAACCCTGCATCATTACCAGATGGAGTGACCAGGTCCAGGCTGGGGAGCCAAGAGTGCAGTGGAAAGAAAGAAAGGCCAAAAGCACCTGAAGCATTAGCATCTACAGAACTAGCAAAATTCACACATGTAACCTAGAATATCTTTTCCTGCTGGAAACCTTGACTTGTCCCTTTTCGTATTTCTGGTCTTTGTTTTACTTAGTGGAATTATTCCCCACCCTTACCCTTGTACTACACACAAAATGAAGTGCAGTGAGGTTGAGTAAGGGCAATCCTTTCTTTTGAGCAAGTTATGCAGAGAAAAAGATAATAATTCGAACTACATATTGGCCATTGCTCTCTGTATCTTGGAATATGTCAATAACTGTTATTATTTAGCCTTTACTCAATGAAAAGCCAAGGGAAAACTCAGAGTCCCCATGTACTCCGATATTTGTGATAAATGTTTATGCTGTTGCTTAACTCTGGCTTAGTTTCCAAAATCTTGATAGGGGTGCTGAGTCACACCCACCAATCTATATCAAGCCCAGGTCCTACAAGAGGGCACATATAATGAGTTACTATGAAGACAATCATGTAAACGTTTCCATGAAGGCCTAAAGGGGGCAAAAGATCTAGAATAATAAATACTTTAGGATAAAACACTTTTACAGAACACTAATAACATTACATTTTAAACATTTACATTTCTAAATAGATCAATACTCTGAAATTCCTCTCCATTTTAATGGTGTTTTGTATATCTATATTAACACATAAAATTAGAAGAATTGTAAATTAACATTTTGTAAATTGGCTTATTTTAACACATAAACAGATATTTGTGGTAGATAAATACATAAAAGACAAAAGTGAGTAATTCCATATTAAAAAGAAGGGCATAGTGGCTCACACCTGTAATCCTAGCACTTTGGGAGGCTGAGATGCAAGGATCACTTGAGCCCAGGAGTTGGAGACCAGCCTGGGCAACATAGTGAGACCCCACCTTAAAAAAAAAAAGGGCAAATATACCTTTTGTTAGAAATAGGAATTTAAGTTGACTGTTTTACATACAATCCTCCAAAAAAGTGTATTTGATATTTCTGCTGTGTTATTTACTACTTAATGTTGTAAGTGCTAATAGTTTTAATATGATTTACTACTTTTGAAATATACCCTATTATTGTATTAATAAAATATTCAAATTCTACCTCTAGAAACAAGAATTCTGTTAGAGACTGTGGGAGAAACAGACAAGGTGGGAAACTCGATCCTTGTCATGTAGTACCCCAAAATGACACTGTGGATTGCTTTGGACTAGTGCTTCCCAAGTAGGTAGGAGCACATGTCACAGTATCAGCAGTTGAGGCAGGGCAAGGGACCTACCATTTGTTGTTTTGAAACACATATTAACAGTGTATTTATTATGCTTATAATAGAAAATACAGGAATAAAGTTCTATAAATTCTTGAGAAGTGAGAATTGCAGAAGATAAAATGAAAAAATATTCTTAAATAAGATGGGTTTGAAAAGTTCATAAATATGTGGGGAAAAACACAGTCTCTTTGTAATTCTTGGCATCTAAAAAGGAGACTTGAACTATGTGATCTATCTCTTTATTTTGCATTTTTATATCCTAAAATTGTTGTCAGGCAGAATCCCAGTAGGCCTGCTCTGCTTTCAGGCTGGTGACCTGGAGGTGAAAAACCTCCAGGTTTTTCTAGTTCTCTGATTCATCTATGGAAATAAACACTGGCCTTTGGATCTGGTGCTTTCTTTCCTTTCATTATTCTTAACACATTAAAAGAGGAGTCACAAAGCCTAATCTTCAGATTTAGTGACAACTAGACAGAAAAGGCACAAGTCCGGGAATAACAAGACTGGTTGGTTCCTGCCTTTTTCAATTTAGAAAGCTAAGTCTGCATATTAGAAAATATTAAATGCTGTAGTGCATATACTTACTTTTCTAGTGATCCAAAATTATAAAAATCTCAGTTATAAAACAATTCATCCTAATTCTGCACATCTTTATGTTTCAAAGCTTACTTCTTCCACTGGAGAAATGTCCTATTTAAAACATATTTACTATCACTAATTGAGGTCCATATTTGCCTTTAAAATAAAACTTTAACTTACTATATATTAATGACAGATATATTTCTCACATACATAAAAACCAACTGCTTCAATGTATATGAATTACATTAGTGCAATTTAAAATGTATTCTTTTTTATTTTCCTAGTATAATCTGGCAGGGATATCAAAGAGAAGAATAAACTATAAAGAGAGATAAGAGAATTTCCAGTTACATAGTTTACAAAGTGCAGGCAAAGCACACTTTAAAAACATTGTATTTTCAATTTTGACATTAATATTGAGAAAACCAAAAAGCCTAAATTAAAATAATCAGTTTTAAAATTATGAGACTATCCATAAAATGTAAACACATTTTGAGTGCTGGAAAATATTCACTTAACTCATTTAATAGAATAAGCAGCAGATAATAATTACTTAATGATAAAAATGTAGTATATGCCCTGTTACAAAGATGTCCTGTCTTGGTAGATGTAAAATAAAAACTTTCTTTTAAAGAGAAATAAATCTGGAGTTTTCTCATGTTTCCAATGCTTTACTTTTTTTTTCCTATTAACATTCATTTATCATAATGCAAACCATATGTGGCAACATACAGCCCAAGCTCATTCCTTTAACATCACACAAATATGCTCACTCAGCAATCCAACAAAAGTGAACATTTGTGAATGTCTTTGATCATGCCAACATTGGTCAGGTAAAGTGAAACAACATGCTTTCCTCCCGAATGTACCATGTGTTTTACATCATAAATTGTTAGGAAAAATTAAGTAGAAAAGTAGCATTTAAAAACAATTCAAGTTTAGAAATCATCAGCAAAATACAATGTTAATTTAGATACCAATGGTGGTTTGTTTTCAGCTAAAAAGAGTCACTACATTTTGGAGTTTAAATGGTAGCATATACCCATTTACTAATTGAGTAATTTGCTGAAAGGTGAAGGTGAAGGCAAAACTTCCTACTTGCTTGGCAGAAGTCAGGTGCTGAGATGGGGAAATGTTGCTGAAGCTTAATGATTCTCAGCTGTGAAGCAGATGGTGCTCGAATTGCAATCCTTGTTGAATAGTAAAGTTGAGGCTCCTGAAACATGGAGTAATCCTACTCTTGCTTCTGTGGGTCCCAAACTGAACTATAGAAGAGCAATTCTTTTGGAAAGTTTATTAAGTACAAATGCACTTAATAAACGGGAAACATCTTTGTCTCAAAAAGAAATGTCATGTCCTAATATTCTTTTTTTAATATTGTATAAAACATTCTAAATGAAAGAGAGTCAAAGAAAGTGATAATAATTCATCGTGGCCCACTGAGTGCACCCACTTTAGCATTCAGGGAAAAATATATAATTGTATATACCCAGATGAATATAAATAATGTATATATCTATATAGTGATTAGAAAAACACTACTTTTTTAATACTGAAGAAGTCACTTAAAAATGTGCACACTAAGCTAGTTTCCTACATCTAATTACTCCAGGTAACTATTATTCCCCTATTTCATATATTGGCAAGAAATGGTTTAAAAAGAATGCTTACAATATTCTAATATAATTTAACTGTATTATACACACTTAACTGTTATTTATTATAAACCTAGAGTGATTACATACATAAATATTATGATAAAAATAGTAATTAGACAACAAACAAATGTAAACTTGAAAGTCCCTACTTTCTCATCAGTAAAATAATTATTTTCATCATGTTCTGTAAAGCCTAAATGACCTGGCACAGTGCCAGAAATATAGCACAAGATCACTAAAGTATCTTTCTTAATGGTGTTGGTGATGATCACATAACAAACATTTTTGGCAATTTCTTCATATCATGTACATTATTAATATTATCTTAGATAACCATCAATTTGCATGTATTGATATGTAAACCATAGGTATGAAGCATTTGGTTAGATTTAGAATAAATAAGCTGAAATCTAAATGTGTACTACTGAAAGAGAAGAAAAGAGGAAGAAAGAAAATCAGAGCCAAGAACAGTTTTCTAAATATCCAAATGAAGTAAAAAATGAATAAACTCTATAAAGCCATTTGAACTATTGCTAAAACCTACCTCCTTTAAACTTCAAGGAAAACCAATTTCTCACTGAATTTGCCAATAATGTGGCAACAATTCACTTTGGCCATAATCTCATACAATCTTTTCAATGCATTATTTCCAGGCATGATTCCAAGATGCTGAATCCCAGAGTAGCAATGGGAATTCTTTACAATCTTTCCCATTAGCAGAAATGTATTCTCATTTGAAAAGCGTACAGTAGAAATGCCTATTTTAATTTTTAGCTTCATCATTGTACTCCATACTCTATACTACCCATGGAAGTAATGATATCTCACAATGCTCATGCCATCTGTATCCTGATACTGTTATAAACCGAGTTCCATAATGCTATCCCCAGAAGTATATTCACTACCTAATTAGTATTCATTCTACACAATATCCTTAGTGAGCAAAATAAATAGATGTATTGGGGTTGCAGGCCAAAGCTGCAAATCATAGAGACTCAATTGGGGGAGGAGGGGAATACAAAGAAAAGTTGTGTGGAAGACGAAACAAGAAAAAATAGTAAAACAGAACCCACTGAAACACATTACCTACGCCTGAGGTTAGCTTTAGTACTTGATAAGATAAATGAAAATAGAATTACTATAGGACTAACATATTTTTGAAAGATAAACATTCTGATTTTCTGCAAGGGTGGGAAAAATGGGGTTGGAAAAGACAAATACCAAATTTAAGAATAACACATTTAGGTTCAGCGAATATCTATTATGTGCCTATTCTGTGCCAAGATCTGAACATCTAGGCACTTTCACATATTTTCTGTGTTTGGCTGTTTTTGTGTTGCTATAAAGGAACATCTGAAACTGGGTACTTAATAAAGAAAATAGGTTTTATTGGCTGATGGTTCTGCAGGCTGTCCAAGCATGGCACTGGCATCTGCTCAGCTTCCAGGGAGACCTCAGGGAGCTTTTATTCATGGCAGAAGGCAAAACAGGAGCAGGCATGTTGCATGGCCAGAGAAGGAGGAAAAAGGGGAGGGGTGTTGCCACCTACTTTAAACAACCACATCTCATGAGAACTCATTTACTATCATTAGGACAGCCACAAACCTTGAAGAATCTACCCACATGACCCAAACACCTCCCATATCTCATGAGAACTCAGGCCTCACCTCCAAAATTGGGGATTACCTTTCAACATGAGATCTGGGCAGAACAAATACTCAAACCATATCACATATGTTCTATTTAATACAGTCATTCTCTGAAGCAGGTAAAACAACCTTTATTTTATAGATGATGATACATAGGTCCAATGTAAGTTCTAAATATTTCCAAGATCATACAATTGGTAAGACACTAAATATCTGACTCCAGCTCTTCTAATGGCAAGTTCAGGAAATTTTAGTGCTATATTAAAAATGCCATAAAAATTCAATTCTCATCACGTGTTTTCCAAAGGAAGATAATTTTGTTAAGTAAAATATTTATTTTACTATTTTTACTGTTTTTAAATTGATTTATTCTTTTCAGTGACATGGGAAAATTATTTCTGGGATAATATGGGAGAACAAAAGTTGGAATAGCAAAAAAAGAAATAATACAGATCCTGATTGATTATAACAGTGTAGGACAAAGAATTACACAAATATTTCCTAAAACTAGATATTATTAACAACTCTGCTTTTACACTTGTTGTCTATTATCTATGTAAACTTTGTCAAACATTCTGAAATGCTTCTAATTTGCGATTTTACCACCACAAGTGATCAAACTTCCATACATTCCACTATTTCAGAATCCAAACTATATCTCTGATTTTACCACCTTTGTTTGGACCTGGCACAGACTATGGGTTCTGATGTTTCAAATTATGTCTTCAGTCTATGTGTCTGATTTTTGCTTTGACCAGAATGATCTCTATATTCCCACAGAAGTATCAATTACTGATACTTTATTTATGCTTTGTCCTGAAAAGAATGAGTTTGAATTCTTTCTCTCAAAAAACGTACAGTGATCAATAAGAAAACAAGACACATTTACAGCATCATGCAGGTTGTGAGTATGGAATAAAATAAAACCAGCAGGTTCACAGAGTAGCTGAAATTCCTCATTTCAATCTCATTTGCAGAGAGTGCTGAAGAGTTGATATACTATCTATTTGGCACCTAGCATGTGTCTAGCAATGCACCAGTACTTTCTATGTAGCATCTCATTTATTTCTCAAAATAATATTTTCAGAATGGTAGCAATTCAACATGATTGCATCTGGATTAATGCAGCAAGATGATTTGGCCAAATTTATGTGTCAATCAAGTAGTGGGATCAGAATGTTACTGTAAGCTGGTGTGACTCTAATGGATATTAGAGTTTGAACATTCCACTATACCAGGCTGACTCCCATCTCAGATTCATTATCATGAAGCAATGCCTTCTGTAAACAAAAACAAAACAAAATAAAAAAACTTATAAGGCCCCCCAACCATCTGAACAGATTCTTCCTCTCGGCCAGGGCAATCCAAATTTAACCAGAAAAACTGGTTCATGCCATCATGGGGGCTGGAAGATGGACATGCCTCATTATACCCTCCTCCCTTTCAGAACTGCTGATAGAAATGACTCTTTAAGTCTAATAAGAAACATTTACAATTTATGTTTTCTGAAGCCTGTTACATGGAGGCTTCATCTGCATCATAAAACTCTGGTCTCCACAACTCTTTATAGTAACCCAGACATTCCTTTTCCTTTCTATTGATAATAACTCTTTCAACCAATTGCCAATATGAAAATTTTTAATTCTACCTATAACCTGGAAGCAAGTTGTCTCACCTTTCTGGTGGGACAACCAATGTATTTGATTGATGTCTCGTGTCTCCCTAAATGCATAAAACGAGGCTATGCCCTGACCACCTTGAACAGATGTTCTCAGGGTCTCCTGAGGGCTGTGTCATGGGCCATGGTCACTCATATTTGGCTCAGAATAAATCTCTTCAAATATTTTACAGAGTTTGACTCTTTTTGTTGACACTTCCAAAATATCACTCAATGAAAGTGACCAGAGCAACTTTTATTCCAAAATATGTCAAATGTCTAGCAAGAAATACCACTACATCATTAAGTCAAAGCATACTTCATCCATATAAGTTCAAACACTGATTTTCTTTGTATATAAATTAATATTTACTGTTTTAAAGTCCTGCTTGATAAACATGTCAAAAAGTGAAAGGATCCTAGTGTATGTAACAAGCACTGGCACTGAAGAAATTTAAACCAGACAAGTCATTTGTGGCAGAGACAGATAATCCAGTAACCTAAATCCAGTCAGAATAGCAGAATCCAAATACAAAAACCCAAAAAGCAAAGTTGAACTCAGAGTCTAAGAAGTTAGAATTGTGCCCTATGAACAATTTTATGCCGCCACCTAAGAGTAGCCAAACTTGGATTCCATTTGTCTTTGTAAGGATACTTTGGAGATGCAAGTAACAGGCTGACCAAAAGCGGTTTGCATAATAGGGTCTTATTATCTCATTTTATAAGAAATCAGAAAGTCAATGGTTCCAGGGTTGGTAAATATCCCAGAAAATAGCTATTATCCAGGACACTAGTGTTTTCAATTCAGTTGTCCCATCCTCCACATGATTACTCTTGTGTTTAGGTTGTTGTTTCACAGTCACAAGTTGGCTGTCTCTATTTAGGTAATCATATATAAATGCAGGTAGAAGAATATCTCATTTTATTGCATGAAAAAAGACTTTCTAGATGCTCCCAAGCAAAAATTGGTCTCCTGATGAGATGATATCTCCCTCAAAAAGTAGGGAAATGAATATGGGTCATTTTAGCCTTTCTAGGAGATGGTGGACTCATTGACAAGAAAGGCTAGAGGAATGGCTGAAGAATGGGCAGCTAATAGTGTCTACCATATGTAAATCTGTGATCATAAACGAGTTTACAGACCTTAAATGATCAGTCCCTGCAACAGAGGCTGAAGTTAAATCCTAAAATTACCTGACATGTTCATGTTTGGTTTACTACCTTTCCCCAACCATCTATAAAATGCATCCAGAGATTAGAAAACCTGCTTCAACTCCTAGGATTAATAATGATCTGGAATGGAAAGAAAATAGCAGAATAATAGAACATGAATAAGATTTTAAAAGATCCTTTTCACTGCCCAACAACACTGTTCTAAATGTCCCAAAAATCTCTGACTTCCACTAAAAACTAGTTGTGGACACTACTCATAATTTATTGACTGCTTATAATCTATGAAGTACTGTGCTCATCTGGTATCATGACAGACCTGGAGAAGAGTCTGTGGGGAGTGGTAGGAAATAAAAATAGATATAAGAGACATGATGAGGTCTCAAACATGCCTTTTCCATTGTTAACCCTATGTATTTCAAAAATATTTATTTTTATCAAAGCTATTGATTGCTAGAGCACTTAGTATATGCTCATTTTTGGAATAGAGTAGATAGACAGTCCTTGCTTTAGTCACTCATAAGCCATTTGGGTCTCCTGCCATTGCTGTCTCTGAATCTCTCTTCCAATCAAATGCATGCTCTGTATCTTTCCTGCTTTCAGTGTTTTTGTTTTTTTTTCCTTTAAACAATTCCTCATTTGTTTCTACTATAATTTTCATTTATCTAGGGACCTAGATAGATTGCAAGACAGAGTTAGCAAGCTGAGGAAGAAACCTAGAATTGAGATAAGGCTGAATGGCATCAAACGTCAAGGTTTATGCACCCATCACAGCAAGAAACATCGGAGAGTCTGGGATGCATTAACTAAGAATATGGAGATACTGAAAATTCAGTCTCTGCATAAACTAGGAACCTTTTCGTTCCTCTTTGAAATTAGAATGTTACATTTTATTATAAATTTGGCAGAAAATTAGGATATTAACATTAAATAATAGGTGACAATCAGTTGAGTCTGCTTTAAAATTTCTTCATATTCTCATATTATCATTCAAAATCTACTATTTATTACACAAGATTCTAAAAAGATACATTTGGTAAAACCATGTCACTGCCAGTGTTTAGGTGAAAGTATAGGATATTTTTAGTAAACTCTGTCTAAAGCTTCACAGACAACATGGAGAGAATTTGCTGACCTGAAATGCACAATATCAGAATTTCAATATAAAATGTACTGACTGCTTATAATCTACAAAGTACTGAACTTGGCATTTTCCATCACACCAGCCCAGTTATATGCTGAGGACCGGAATGCACACAGAATATCGGAAATTACTATGATACAATGTGGGCATGGATAACTGCCAAGTGGCTGTGAGAGAAAGGAGTGACCCAAAGTTCAGGAAAGCAGAAATCACTCTGGCTTATGAAGGAGTCATATTTTCCAATTAAATTGCAGGTAGAAAAAATACTTTGAGAGATAATATTAGATATTGATCAAGGAAAATGTGTTTTCTCAATATTAACCTGGAAGCAAAGACCAGTGTCGTATAATTTGTTTTTTTAATAGTTAAATTGACAGATGAAATTGTACATATTTATCATGTGCACCATGATGTTTTCAACATTTATATTATGAGATCACTAAATCCAGCTACTTAACATATGAATTATCTCACATGGTTATCATTTTTGTGGTGAGAACACTTTACATCCACATTTTTCAAGAATACAATATGTTATTAACTACAGTCATCATATTATGCAACAAATCTCTTGAACTTATTCCTCCTATTTAAAGAAAATTTTGTATCCTTGGAGAACAGCAAATTTGAATAAG
Source organism: Homo sapiens (assembly GCF_000001405.40). Classification (NCBI taxonomy): domain Eukaryota; kingdom Metazoa; phylum Chordata; class Mammalia; order Primates; family Hominidae; genus Homo; species Homo sapiens. Next base: position 188,444,138 of record NC_000002.12, on the reverse strand, counting down.
GAAAGTTTACAAGGCAGGAAGATCAGCTAAGGGTGTATGTAATAGTCTGGGATGCAGGTAATACAAGTAAAACTGTAGAGAAGAAGACGCTAGGAACTGGCCATGAGTACTAGGAAAGAAAATAGGATGCCACAGTGGATTTTCAAAAATCTTTCCAATAGTTTATTTTTGGAATGGAAAAAAAAAGGCAATTGACTTTCCCTTTCTGAAGAAAAACAAATATGATGAGAATTACTACTCTTAATTGAAATATTTAAATTCCACCCTAAATTATAATTAGAATTAGAAATTCATTTTTTTTGCAGGCACCTGTAATCCCAGCTACTCAGGAGGTTGAGGCAGGAGAATTGCTTGAACCCGGGAGGCGGAGGTGGCAGTGAGCCGAGATCGTGCCATTGCACTCCAGCCTGGGCGACAGAGCAAGACTCTGTCTCAAAAAAAAAAAAAAGAAAAGAAATTCATTTTTTCAGTTTAAGCTATTTATAAAATCAGTTTTTAGCAAAACATGCATTTTATAGAACTGTATACAGGTTTGTAATCTAAATTTCTCATAATATAAACTGATAAAATACTGTTCTAGATGAGTGAAACTCCATTTTAACTTTATATTTGCTTGACTGCTTAGGCTCGAGGGTCAATCATTAAACTCTTTTTTTTCTTATGGTGAAATGGTAGCCATTGTGTTGAATGTTGATTTAAATACCATAGGGAGTCCTATTTAATGTCTACAATGTGATAGATGTGGCTTTAGATCAGACTTTGAACATTCAGAGGGCTTCACGAATCAGGAGGTAAAATAAACATGTAAATCGTGCCAGCTACAACATAATAGGGGCAGCAAGGCTTATGTGAAACTAGAAGCACATGTCCAATTTTAAGGCATTTGGCTAACCACTGTTCTAGCAAGTTAAGTCAGGAAAGGGTGAACCCCCCGCCAACCCCCACCCCCACAGCCCGCTTTAGCTAAGTGTACCATATCTCTCTGGATACTTGCTAATTCTTACATTTCTCTGGTGCATCTTCTCCCCAAGACCATTATACAAATCCAACAGGGGTTCAAACATGAATAGTTTTAATATTTAAAACTATGAACAGTTAAGGGATTTTTGTTGTTGCCGCTGTTTTCTTCTTCATAAGGCACCTGAATTTTCAGTCTCCTAAGACTGTTTATGCACCTGTATATTTTGTTTCCTTGATAACTCCTCTCTGGTACAAAGCTGATAGACAGGCTGTTTTTCAGACAGGGAAAGCTATGATGGGGAAGCTGAGAGAAGGGACAGAATCTGATCTTTTGGATAAAATTCAAAGTCATGAATTTTATAGCGCCATTATTTAATTAGCAAAGCACATAAAAACTACTTGATTCAGCTGTGTCATATCATAAGATATTAACAGCTATTAGTTTTTACTATAAGCCAAGCACCATTCCATGAATTTTATAACCCAATTTTACAGATGAGGAAACAGAGTTGGATAAATTTGTCTACAATCATTTAAGTAGAAAGTGTGAGATTTGGACCCAGACTCTCTAGTGTATCCTATTTTCCCAAAAGCATCTCAGTACTTACCTAGGAGCCAAAATTAAAACAAACAAAAAAAGTACTTCTAGGTAATTTACATATTTTTCAAAAGTGGCTTAGAAAGTGTTTTTGTTTTATTTTTATAAATATAACATCTAAATGCCTTTTTATTCACAGAGCAAATTGGTTATCCATTATAATGACTTTATTAAATTCCCTCTCTTCATTTTGTAAACTGCTCAGAATGTGGCTATTAATGTTAATGACTTTGTATACGACCTGAAGATTCATGTGCCCTAACTACATTTACTGGCGTGACTAAAAGTCATCAGACCAAAATAACAACAAAAATAACAACCACATTACCTTACGGGCAGAAAATTGTATTTGCACACTAAGTCTCCATATATTATTCAAAAACATCAAATGGAAGAAAATTTATTTTGACCTTTATTATAAATTTAAAATGTCACCAACAATTGTTTTAATTTCAAATGTGTCCATTATTTTACTTTTCACACAAATAATTTAACCTCTGTAATTATTGTTAGAAGAATAATTTTACTGGTACTCTAAAAACAAAAGTACATTTCTATTCACTGACATTTGATATTTTTCAGCCATTTTTTAAAGGCTATTTTTTATGTTTTTGAAAACCAAAGGTCTTAAACTGTCAACACATCAACGCAAAGTCTAACTCAAAATGTTTGCTTGTACAGTAAACAGAAGCCATTTTAGATCTGTTGCATTATTTAACTCATAAAGCTCTATCAGTCAGGGCTCTATCAGATCCAAATAAAGGAAAATCAATTCTAGCACATGCAAGAAAAGGAGTTTATACTGGCTCATTTAACCAAACCACAGCAGGTGGGAGGCTCAGTGGTGGACCTCCCTGGGCCTGGGCTCAAGGTAGACTGAAAAGCATCAGGCCTCTCTTTTCTCCATCTTATTGCTCAATCTTAATTTTATGAAGATAGGAAGATGTTCAGGCTCCCTCTTTTACATATCTCTCTGGAAGATTCACTGTGGCTAGGCATTTGAGCCTGAATGCAAACACCCCTTACAAAGGTTCCCAGAAGCCAAGTAAGAAGGCTCAAGTCTGAGCAGCAGCAAGGTTGATAAGAGTCCTAGCACTGTGGAATACAAGCAGGAACACTGCTGGATTTAGAGGAGGGCAAAGCTCAGTTTAAATCTCAGCTCCAAAATGCAGTGAGTGGTTTAGGTTAAATATCAACCCTCCTCAGCCTCAGCTTCCTAAACTCTACAGATCATAATAAACATTTATTTTGTCAACATGATTCACTGAACAGCATGTAAAGGGTGTATAGAAAGCCAGATATATAGTTTCCACTTATATGTGCTGGGAGATTTGAAAATAAGAGGAAACTTGTGGTTTCCTCTAAGCAGATGGATTCGGAGAGGATCAAACATAAGGGCGAGTATTTTGTAAATATTAAAGCACTATATAGATGTTAGGTATATTATATTCATCTCCAAACACTGACTTGTGATGTTTATCCACCACAAATTGGACAGTGCTATCTACCTGGCCCGGCAGAGCTTAGAATGCTATCCCAAAGCCTTTGCCCTCTAATATGCAAACCAAACTAGGATAGGGACCACTTCTTACATCTCCTTTGCCCCTCTTCTCCTCCTACAATTCCTAGCAGCATTCTGAGCTGAGAATAAAGGCCCAACATACATCTGAAGACTGACTAATAAGATTTATTCCATCATCTTGATATTGACAGAAATAAAATTTCCCAATATACAAGTGGAATCTTATCTTTTTTTCTACCAAAAATATTCCACATAGTAAAGTATTGAGGAATTAAGTATATTATGGTTCCACTTTCAAGTTGATAACAAACAACTTGGTTTGGATGTTTTAGGTACCCTCTATTTATTGCAAAAATAGTATGACTGCTCAGGAGGCTGAGGCGAGAGAAATGCTTGAACCCAGGAGGCGAAGGTTGCAGTGAGCCGAGATAGTGCCACTGCACTCCAGCCTGGGTGACAAAGCAAGACTCTGTCTCAAAAAATAATAACATGAAATGGCTAGTGAAAACTACAGTTAATAAAAATTTGTAGCCATAACACATAAACAATGTAAGCAGTATATTGAAGACAGGAGTTATTTCAAAGTTGAAATACTACAATATCAAAACAAACTTTTGCATGAGTGTGACCCTTTCCGAAATTAATTAATGCCCCGTGTAACCTTGAAGATTGAGGTATTCCCCATTGGTAACTTTTAAAATAGGTATGTTTTAGACAACCTGGCTTTTATTGTAATTTTATATTGGGACCTTTCTACAGTTAAGTTTAGCATTTGAATGACATGTGAAAGAAGCTTTAACAGTTATCCTCTCTGCCCTCAGGCTGATGCAAAATGACTGCTACAGCTTCCCAACAATAGATTTGTTTTTATCTAATGAACACTGTGAATCATGTTTCTTTATCTGGTCTGGCTGTTAGAAATATTAGAACCACATTTGTGGCCCAATTTTAGCAAATGTGATAGATCTCCAGTATATGCATTTTGTAATAAACCAGCTCTTTTTAGTTTTACTTTTCAAAAAATGTATCTCCTCTCTGTTATTTCCTCACTTTTGAATTATTTAGATGTTTTGGTGGTACTCTATTTTGGAAAAATATAGGATATGCATAAACGAATAAGGTTTAAATGATTTCCCTTTTCTATTGTCTGGTACTACTTGATGTAAGGCAGTTTCATTTAATTAATGCTTTTCCTGCATCACCTTACTCATAAAAAATGATCAGTGTAGGCTGTCTCTGATATTTTACTTCCCATTTTGATTTTTTTCATGATGAAAAGCATATTGCAAATTTTGAGAAAAAGAGAGATATAGAAAGATAAAATTAAGGCGTCCTCCCCACAGTCTAATTAGTATTCCCCTCACCACATCTCCCAGTTACCTCCTACCACCAGAGTCATGTCCTTACCACTGATAGCAATTTGGTGTATAACATTACAGAACACACAAACAAATACGCATACACACACACACCAGTAGCATGTGTGTATATGTGTACACACATGCATAGTCTTTTTCTCACATCTCACATTTTTAAAGGCCAATTACCATTCCATTGTGTGGATACATTATAATTTATTTAACCAAACAATAGATATTCAGGTATTGGAGATACAGAAAGAATGCTGTAAATGACATTCTTATACATATATACGTCTTTGTCTGCTTATGTATTTTGGTAGAATTTTTTTTCTTCTAACTTTAATTTAATGGTTCTAATTTGCAACCAGACAGGAATTTAGAAAATTATGATGATTAAAATGCCATACAAAATGAAAAATGTTCTTTAAGGTTTCTTCATTTGTAAAATTGATGTTTTAAATTTTAATCTTTATGAAATCCATCCCTTTCCAACTCCAACAGCTCTTACTTTCTCTGAATTTACTTTTCTCTGGAATGTTGAGATTATCAGCTAACCAAGACTTCTAAACATTTATTGAATAACAATAGTTGGTAGAAATATGCTCTCCTGGAAATAAGAAAAAGAATTAAATATGGTTTCCGGAGAAGAGTACAATTTAAAATGATAAATTAATAATATTCCTAATTTAACAAACAATTCATAGAGAGTTCTTTTTTAAGAAAGGATTGGTTCCAAAACTTTTAAATGCAACTAGATATTTATACATTTCTGGAACATATATAGTATATAAGTGAAGGCATTTCTCTTTTATATTATGCAACACAGTTTATTGTTACAGACATGAAAACATACAAATCAATAATATTAAGCATTGTGTAAACTAATATAGTTCTCTAAGCAGCATATAGATTTATATTTATTTCAGTCTGAAAACATGTGTTTTAACTACTTTATTTCCTTTTGACTACTGATGTGTTTGGATTTTTTCATGCAAGTTTATTTTGTGCCTTCTTTACATTTTTTTTGTGATATATATATTCTATGTGGCAGACATATATAACATATATAGCAGGAGAACAAAGAATTGGGAATAATGCAATTAACCAGTAACAATGTAATAGGAAGTAAGAAATGACAGAAAAAAACAAAATTATTATAGATTTTTACTGTAATTATTAGACTATTAATAGAATAATTATATTAATAATTGTTATGTTAATATACTGATTATATAACTATTAATAATTTGGTAGTCATATATTATGTATTTGACATAATTATTAAAATAATTATATAATGTATCATACATAATATATGCTATACATGTGATATATCTATATCTATATATGTATATATCACACTCTTGATGTGACTTCATGAGGGCAAGCTTTGAAATTGGGCATGCGACTGCATTGGCCAATAAGATGTTGGAAGATGAAATGCAAGTGCAAGTTGGGGGCTGAAATGCATTTGCACAGCTGCTTTTTAATTCTGTTTGTCCTGGATAAGATTTTATATTAACCTTAGTCTTGGTTTCTCAAACCACAATAGAAGTATATATTAGAACTCCCATCACTGCGTTTGTATTTTTTATGTATTTATTTTTTAATGTTTTTAAACTTTTAATTTAGGTTCAGGGTGCACGTGTGGGTTTGTTATACTGGTAAACTCATGTCACAGAGCTCTGTTTTACAGATTATTTCATCACCGAGGCACTAAGCCAGGTACCTAACAGGTATTTTTTCTGATCCTCTCCCTCTTCCCACTCTCTACCCTCAAGTAACCCTGGTGTCTGTTGTTCCCCTCTTCGTGTCATGAGTTCTCATCATTCTGCTTCTACTTATAAGTGAGAATATGCGGTATTTGGTTTTCTGTTCCTAAGTTAGCTTGCTAAGGGTAACAGCCTCCAGCTCCATCCATATTCCCCCAAAAGACATGATCTTCCTTTTTATGGCTGTATAGTATTCCATGCTGTATATGTACCACATTTTCCTTATACAATCTGTCACTGATGGGCATTTAGGGTGAGTCCATGTCTTTGCTATTGTGAATAGCACTGCAATGAACATTCACATGTACGTGTCTTTATGGTAGAATGATTTCTATTACTTTGGATGTATACTCAGTAATGGGGTTGCTGGGTTGAATGTCTTTTCTTTGAACTCAGAACTACTAAACATTATTTTAAAGAATACATTTTTTAAAAATCTCATTTTTAAAAAAGTATTTTACACTGATGTAACTTACAAGTCCAAGTACTTTGATTGCCAAACAAATACTGAAGCCAAAGTGGGAAAAGAAATGCTTTTTCACCTCTAAATAGAACAAACAGATGATCGCAATGTATAATCAATTCTAACTTCAGCTTGATATGTACAACTGCCAATTAGATCGTTTGGGCTCTGAATTTTAAAGAGCCTGAAAGAGCATTTGCAAACACAATGAAAAAATTTAGATTTTAATACTCTTCATTCCTTGGACACAAAATGTAACCTGGAAAGCATAAGTGTTAACATTTCTATGAAAGATTCAGGGACATTTCTGCAAGATATTCATCCTATCAGTAAACAGATATTAGCATATAATATGAAAAACATAATTTGATAGTTTTCACATACTAAAAACAAGGACATATTAGAAAAGTTGTCCTACCAGAACTGATATGGTAAAGCTAATAAAAGAAGATAGAACTATAGTGGATAATGCTGTGGTCCAGGTAAGTGATAACATTATGTTAGTTTATTGCAGAACAGCTGCATTTTATTGTTTTTATGTATGTGCCAAGTGCAAAAGATCTATGGATAGAAATAGAGATATACAGCACCTATTAAAATAGTTCACTATCTAAAAAGTGGTTTCCAAAATGTTTTCTTCATGAACACTGTATGTGAAAAATGTTTGAGCATGTGCCCCAAAATATGTACAAATTAATATATTCTTACAGAACACATATTATACTCAATTTAAAACTATATGTATAAACTACCTGTTAAATTAGTGCACATATTATGAAATATAGCTGAAAATATAAGTCAAAAGTTAAAAAATAAAAAATAACTTTTAATACAAATTTTAATGTCTCTTTTTTCCTTGAATTTCCTGTAGGGATCCATGTTTGCCAGTTTAGAAATCAAGGGTCAAAGAATATAGATAATAAAATGTACTAATTGCTATAATGGAGACATGAACATGTTTCTATAATGAGAACTTGGGAGGATCAGCTAAATCAGTGAGGAAAGTAATTTTAAATCAAAATGATGAGAGACTGAGGACCTATACTTTGATATCGGAATATCATACCTATGATGCTGTAGTGTCTTTTGTTACTATTGTATTACTTCCTATTAAATTGTGTTAATATACAAAACTTTAATTAAAGGATTTTAGGGAAAGGTAATCATGATGGCTAGTTTGTGAATTCCTCCATAATAAAAGATAATACAACCAGAATAGCAAAACAAACAAACAAACAAAAACAGGAACAAAATCTACAACAAAAATAGGTGGCAAGCTGTGATGGTTGGATTTTAAAATGGACCCCAAGATCCTTGCCCACCTGGTGTACACACCCTGTACAATCTCTCCCCTTGAGGGTGGGAAGGACCTATGCATATAATGGAATATCAAAGCCAGGATTACCTTAAGTTACATGGTAAAGATGGAGAGGTTTTGTAGATATAATTAAGGTCTCAAAACAGTTGATTTTGAGTTAATTAAAAGAGAAATTAACATGCGTAGACCTGGCTTAATCAAGTGAGATTCATTAAAAGAGGGACTGGGCCTTTTTAAAGAAAAGAGATTCTTCTGGCCTTGTAGAAGGAAAGAGCCATGTTAAGAACTGCCTATGGAGAGATCCCAGTCTTTGCCTAACATTAGAGACTACAAAAAGTACAGCCTTTGTCTCTCCTTTAACAGCTTTGAAGAAGCATCCTGCCATAAATTGTGCAGCTGCATGCAAGGAAATGAATTCCGACAACCTGAGGGATCTCTGAAGCAGATTCTTCTCTAGTAGAGTCCACAGATGAGAATACAGCCCAGAAAACTCCTTTATTTCAGCCTGGTGATACCCTACGCCAAGGACACAGGTATGGTAAGTCTATGGGACTTCTGACACACAAAAAATGTGAAGTAATAAATGGCTGTAATTTTAAGCAGCCAAGTGTATCATGTGGCATAGAATTTGTTATAAGACATAGGAAATTAATGCACAAGCTATCTCAAAGATTCTTATAATGGAATTGAGTGAGAGTAAGCCATTAATAGTCAGAAGACACTCATGGTAGCGGCATCAGTGTTGGAGAAAATAAAGGATACCAAAAGCCCGTTTAACATACCAAAATAGGCAACAGGTTGTCAATGAGATCAGCAGTAATTGAAAGGGCATTTTCTAAGCCAACTCACTGGCAAGGGCAAAGGTTTGTGTTTGTGTTCAGATCAAAAAGAGTTGGAACAATCTGAGTCATATGAATTCCCAAAAGCTACCTTTCAGGACTAAGTCTTATATTAAAGGTAAATTTTGGAAATAAAAACCAACTGAGACAAACTGGAATAAGAGTGATTAAAGAAAAAGTCCAGAAAAACACTGGGGAGAAGACAAGGCCAGGATAAATCTGAAAGTATGAAGCTATACTTCTATCTATTAAAACCACCAGAATTGAGAGTTACAAAATTATAAATATAGAAAAGATATTGTAAGCCACTACCTTTGTTTAAAATCTTAGAAAGTCTAATCTCATGACAAAAATTAAAAATGAACAAAACATTGTGCTCACATCTTATGTAAAGTTGTGATAAGATTATAAAAGAAAAGGAGGAGAAAATAACATCCCTACAAGCAATGAAAGCATACAAAAATTGTCAACAAATCAGATTAAAACTCTAGCCTAATTTTTCAAAATGAGCTAAAAGCAATTAAGAAAATAGAAGATATGAAAAAACAATATGAATAAAAATTAGAAAAACTCAGAAATTGGGTGATAGAACTCAGGAAATTTAAAAATAAGGAAAGTAAGTAATGTCTAAAAGGAAAAATGAACCAGAAAGAATGCAACAAAATGGGTAGCACTATAAAAAAAACAAAAATATAAACATAAGAAAATGTTCAAATAAAAAAAGAAGAAAAATGATTCAAAAGGATGTCACAAATATGGAAGGCAGAAAAAAAAATCCAACATATAAGACTCCTCAAAGAAGTAAACCAAAACAAGAGGCAGAATGGATACTAAAATTAAAAATTAAAAAAATACTTTAAATTCAAAAACATGTACATATCAAGAGTATGTTGTAAACTTGGGCAAAGTCACCATAATAACCAAGAAGGAGACATATTCTACTCAAATTCTAGCAAAATTTTAAAATTAAAAAAAAAAGAAAAAGAAACTTTGGGAATGTAGGGAAAGAACTCCAAGGCATTTTTTATAAAGGAGAAAGAAAAATAGACTGTAATCAAAGTTTTGACATCATTGACAGCAAATGATTTATGGTAGAAGACAACTGAAGGAATAAAAATAAAAGGTGATTTTGGAGCACACAAGTAACTCTGAAATATGAAGGTGCAGATCAACTGTTTTCTGCATGCGACACTAAGGAAATATTATTCAGTCAGCTCTTCTTATACTATCACCTTCAGGAATCCAAACTACCTGAAAAAAACAATGACATAAGGCTAGTATCTTCACTAGAAATTTCCAGTTAAAAAAAAGTGGGGGGAATATTATGCCCTAACTCTCAGACCCCATTGTTTACCTATAATGAAAAAAAAAAGGTATAAGGTAGAGAGGACAAGGATTGAGGCCACTCTTCTTTAAATTGTTTTGTAAATTGAACTGTGGAAAAATGTAAATTTTTGCTAAATTATAAAGCAAAATTAAATCAAGGAGAACATGTTCTCAGGACTTCCTGAGGCTGTGTTACAAGCCATGGTCATGCATATTGGGCTCAGAAAAAACCTCTTTGAATATTTGACAGAGTTTGGTTTCTTTCATCAGCATTAATTGGCACCCATAGGCAGCCTCAGAGAAAACTCAGGACCTGCTAAAGGAATTACCTGAACTCAGAACTAAGATACCAAGATGTGCCCATTGAAAGCCCCTCGACTGAGAGATTCTTCTCTGATAGAACTGTTAGTCGTCCTGAGCCCTGGATCTCCCACTTGGTTGACAGTCCTTTGGTTTAGTCTGAGCTTGTTCTTTTCCTGGGAAGTTTTCAGGATCCTAATTTTGATTCAGATGTTCATTCTAAAGGATCTTCTCCATTGCCTTTTTCTCTCATAATCAATTTCAATTAGCTCATCTTTGCATTTGCTCGAGAAACCGGACTGTCCGTTGCATAAACAAATGACAGACTGAGCTTCTCAGTTCCACTACACTGAAATCTAGACTACAGTTCAGTTCCTCCCTTAAAGAAAAATATATATATAAACAAATCATTTACAAATGAAGAAAGACAAAGAGAATGACCCCCTTTGGAGCAACCCAGTCAGTTTTATGGCACCTCTGCTTCCAAGTATTTGCGTAAATGGGAAAGTTCAAGGGCATGCTGGGGTTTTTAGTACTTCATCTGGTTATGGTCTTCTAGTGTACACATTTTAAAATATAGAGTCTTCAAAGCTAAGTTATCTGTTTCTCTGTTTTCTTTTTCTGCCTGCTTTAAATCTGCCATTACTTTTCTACTGGTGTCAAGATAAAACCCATTCTTTGGACCCAATCTTTTACATTTTTTTCTTTTGTAAGCTGGTAAGTTCATATTACTATCTCATAGCCAGAGTTCTGAAGTAAAAGCAATATGATCTTTGTGTTTGTGTGTATGTGTGTTTAGATATGTTTATGTGTAGGGACATGTATTTTGTAACGTGTTTTGGCCACGAGGTACCAAATTGGCTTGAAAATAGAGTACTCAAAAATTACATAAATAAGCCAAAATATTTTTCAAGTTTATGTGATTTAAGTAAATATTAAATAAATAAGCTGAGTTTTAAATTACTATTAAAATAAATTTTAAAATGTCTTCAGAATCATCAATATACATTTTTTTCTGAATTTATTGATTAAGCAGTTTTATATTTATCTCTGCTAGATATTATGAGGTGTCCAGTTTTGACATGAAGGTTATAAAACTATAAACCTAATGCAAAACAGAATTATATTTGTGTAATTTTTGATAAAAAAGATATTCAGTGTTGTCGGTTTAATGAAAACAGTAAAATCCTGAGTTATTGGCAAAACAATTTAAAAACCATATATTTAACCTTAAGGTTCTTACTTAGATAAATACCCGATAGTCACAGACTAAAAAAAAAATGATTAACAGAAAAATAACTTTAAATAATTTCTAGCTTTTTCTAATATCTCAGTTTTTCATAAGTAATCTAGGTAAACTATTAAAAATAAATTAATTAGGTAAATGTTTCAGGATAAATGCTTATAAATGAGCTTGTCATGTAATTTAAAATCTTAAATTGTAGTAAATTAAATGATATATACTCATTAAATGCCTGTATAATTTCCAATTTTAAAAAATACATACGAAGATATTTTTTCTTAAAAAATTTATAAAATGGTTCTTATCTATAAAATGCTGAAGTGACAGACAATTCAAGATTTCTACTTCCTAGGTTTTCACAAAAATGTAAGGTTACTAAGTATAAAAATTCTAGTTCCTATATAATTCTGTATATCAAGTATGCCAAAATAAGATGTGGTTTGGATTAAAAAAATTATGACAGACATGAAAATGTGTTCTTTTTAAAAGGAAAATAATTTTTATCTAATTCAAAGTTCATTTCAATATTATTTATGAAACAAATGAAAAAGAAACCAGTAAGTAAGAGAGAAAGTTGTGAAGAAACTACAGATATTAAGAGGTATTTCTGACAAGAAAGCTTAAAAACAGAATAATTTTGTATAATAAATTTCTGTCCTAACATAAATGACTGGTTAGTTAAGGCAGATGGATATCTACAACAAAATAGAAAGTATGAGCATGTTGTAAATGGTTTTTGTAAGTCGTGATAAGATTCATAAAAACAGAATTAATAAAAGATATTTTCTACGTGGTTAAGTTTGCTATAATTAAGAGACTTAGTCTTCCTAGAGATTAAGCTTTTACATTAAAATATGCTAATACATAACTAAATAATTGGTTAGTATAACAAGATTTCTTTACTTTTACAATTACTCTTCGTGAAATTGTAAGTTTTAAATTTTTAATTCTATATAATCTGTTTCTTTTAAGTTTCTCAGATTGATATTTTAAAAGTTCAGTTTCTATACCCTGCTGCTTTCAACTGTCCACCCTTTGAGAAGACCTGAGATGCTAACTCTCTTCTTCAACATTTTTTTTTCTTTCACACACCCATTCATTGAAGCTTCAACTTTTGTTGGCTCCTGTAACACTTTTTTTTTCCTCCAGTTCTACATCTGTTGTTATAGCCTGATGCTAAAATGTTTTATTTTGAAGGTTTTAAAAAGACACGGTTTTCCTCCAGTATAACTTAATTCTGTACTCCTGGCTTTTCTTAATATGTTTAGCAGCCAGAGGCCCTCTGAAGGTTTGCTGAAAAATCAACGAAAAAGCTCAAAAAAGACAGACTGGTTGAAGGGAAGGTATGCAGATTTGTTTGGTGTATATATGGGGGAGTTTACAGAAGAAAGACCAAAGATACAGGGTAAATTGTCAATTTTATACTGTCAATAAAGTATGGAAAGACGTGAAAATATGATATTAAAAAGGGTATACTTTAATGCTAGTAGACTGTGTGGGAAAAGCCAGCAAGGCCTGTCTGTCTGTATAGATTCTTAATCTCCTTGAGTAAGCACTTCCTTCTTTCTGGGTATGGGAGTCTTATAATCTACAGTCCAACAAGGAAGATCAGAGCATTTCTTTATGGCTGGTTCTCACACAGAAAGGTGAAGGAAAAATTAGGGTAATATTTTTAGTTTGTATTGCTGGCTTTGAGGAAAAGGAGTTTTGGTTTCTAGGATCCACATGGAGGAAAAGAGGTTCTAGTTTCTATGGGCAGCCTCAAGGGAAAATGGAGCTGAGTGACAGAAGGGCAGAAGGCCAAAAACTTTTATTTTTGAAGTTGTTTCTGAGGCTTCCATTGTGGGGTATTGTTTTCTGAGCCCAAACATATGTTTAAAGTGTTCATTATAACCAGGCAACTTCCCATGTTGTCGCTAAGAGTCACATATTCTCTTGCTTAAGGGCTCTATGACATAGTACTGGTCTTCCTATGTCTGATTAACTCACATTCTCTTTTCATCAAGTTTAACTTTCTGGTTATCCGAAGGAGCTTCCCATAAGCAAAAACTATCACACTGCAGGCTCTTCCTTACCTTTTTGATAACTAGCTTAAGAAACAAAGATTTTGCAACAATTCCTGTTGTTTTTATTCGGTTTTTAAAATTGCCTTAAGAAAACTAAATTTTGAGAGATAAGTTTTTACATCCATGTAACTTTTTACATCACTTTTGAGCTCTTTTTATTATCACACTGGATAAATGAATAACTGTTATTTTACAATGACCTATGACTCTGTTTTAATCAAATGTTTTGAGGCTTTTAACATCTTTGACAAACATCTTCAAAATCGAACACTAAATTAAGTGTCTGACTTAGAGCTATTGCTAGGGGCTTATTAAAATTATAAAAATTAACCACTGTAAGGTTGTAAAATTTTTTTACAGCTTCCACTTAAGGAAAAAACTCCACTGAAATCCCAGCACTTTGGGAGGCCGAGGCAGGTGGATCATGAGGTCAGGAGATCGAGACCATCTTGGCTAACACGGTGAAACCCCGTCTCTACTAAAAATACAAAAATTAGCCGGGCATGGTGGCAGGTGCCCGTAGTCCCAGCTACTCGGGAGGCTGAGGCAGGAGAACGGCGGGTGAACCCAGGAGGCGGAGCTTGCAATGAGCAGAGATCGCGCCACTGCACTCCAGCCTGGGCAACAGAGCGAGACTCCGTCTCTTAAAAAAAAAAACAACAAAAATAACCAAAAACCTCCAGTCCTACCTGCTCTAGCCGAAAGACTAAACATCATTTAAAAAATTCTCTCCAGCTCCAGGGTCTTTATCAAATATTGTTAACCAAACTACTTTGTGCTGTTAAGTTGCAAGGCTTTGACCCGTAGGTACACACCTAACTCCTAACTCATCTGAAAAGGAGTACTGACTCCTACTGAATCTTTTTTTTTTGAGACAGAGTCTTGCTCTGTTGACCAGACTGAAGTGCACCAACAAGATCTTGGCTCACAGCAACCTCTGCCTCCTGGGTTCAAGAGATTCTCATAACTCAGCCTCCCAAGGAGCTGGGACTACAGGCATGCACCACACCTGGCTATTTATTTGTATTTTAGTAGAGACAGGGTTTTGCCATGTTGGCCAGGGTGGTCTTAAACTCCTGGTCTCAAGTGATCCACCTGCCTTGGTCTCTCAAAGGGCTGGGATTACAGGTGACAGCCAGCACACCCAGCCCAACTCCTACTGAATCTTAAACATCAACACTGGTATCTGACACCAAATTCAAGTTAAAGACTCATCTTCAGACCTGAGAGCGGATGACAGTCAAAATAAACTGCCTTCATGTGATATAGTACCAGGCCTGTATACAAAACCATAAATACTCATTTAGTCATGTTTCCTCTATCTAACAATATAATATGTTCTTTGACTTAGTCCCAAATAATTTAAATATTTAGCTGCCTGTGAGTATCCTTTTCCTGTCATCATCAGAGCTAGGCAGTGCTTATCTTTTGTTTAAAACTTTATTCATTCTTTGTTTTGTTTTCCAGAGTAAATTAAAAAAAAAACACACTTTTTTTTAAAGTCCTTAGAGCTAACAAGAGTGGGTAAAACAACAAAGATTACTTTTCTCTCTGAATTAGTCATTCTCTGAATGTAGTCATTAGACATTGCTACAAAGAAACACCTGAATCTGGTTAAATTATAAAGAAAAGAGGTTAAATTGGCTCATGGTTCCCCAGGCTTTATAGAAAGCATGGCAGCATCTGCTTGGCTTCAGGGGAGGCCTCAGAAAACATATAATCATGGAAGAAAGCCAACAGGGAGCCTGCACTTTACATGTCCAAAGCAGGAGGAAAAGAGAGAAGAACGAGGTGCCATACACTTTTAAACAACCAGCTCTTGTGAAAAATCTATCATGATAACAGCACTAGGAAAATTACGTTAAACCATGAGACACCACCCCATAATCAAATCACCTCCCACCAAGCCCGTCCTACAATATTGGGGATTATAATTCATTATGAGATTTGAGCAGGGACATAGATCTCAACCATATCATTCAGCCCCTGGCCCCTACCAAATCTCATCTTCTTCTCACATTGCAAAATGCAATCACGCCTTCCCAACAGTTCTTTAGAGTCTTAACTCATTCCAGTATTAAGTCAAAAATCCAAGGTCAAAATCTCATCTAAGACAAGATAAATCCCTTCTGCCTAGGAGCCTGTAAAATCAAAAGCAAGTTAGTTCCTTCCAAGATATAATGGGGATACAGGCATTGGGTAAATACCCCCATTCCGAAAGGGAGAAATTGATCAAAAGAAAGGGTACACAGGCCTCACACAAGTCTGAAACCCAGCAGGGCAGTCATTAAATATTAAGGCTTTGAAATAAACTCCTTTGACTCAATATCTCACATCTAGGGCATACTGATGCAATGGGTAGGCTCCCAAGGCCTTGGGGAGCTCTGTCCCTGTGGCTTTGCAGGGCTCAGCCCCCATGGCTACTCTCAAGGGCTGGCACTGAGTGCTTGCAGCTTTTCCAGATGCAGGATGCAAGCTGCCATTGTATCTACCATTCCAGGGTCTAGAGGACAGAGGCCCTCTTCTGACAGCTCCACTAGGCAGTGCCCCAATGGGGATTCTGTGTGGGGGCTTCAACCACACATTTCCCCTTCCCTAGTAGAGGTTCTCCATGAGGGTTCCACCAGTGCAGGAGGCTTCTGCCTGTACATCCAGTCTTTTCTATATATCCTCTGAAATCTAGGCAGAGGCTCTCAAGCCTCAACTCTTAAGACTGTATATACCTGCTGGTTTAACATCATGTAGAAACCACCAAGGCTTATGGCTTGCACCCTCTGAAGCAGTGGCCCATGCTGTACTTGGGCCCCTTGGAGCCATGGCTAGAGCTGAAGCAGCTGAGATGTAGGGAGCAGTGTCCCAAGTCTGTGCAGGGCAGCAAGGCCCTGGGCCTGGCCCATGAAACGATTGAGTTCTCCTAGGTCCCCATGCCTGTAATGGGAGGAGCTGCACAAATGTCTCCGAAATGCCTTCAAAGCTTTTTTCCCATTGTCTTGGCTAATAGCATTTGCCTTCATTTTAGTTATGGAAATTTCTGCAGCCAGTTTGAATTCCTTCCCAGAAAATGGGCTAGGCTGCAAATTTTCCAAGCCTCCAAGCTTAGACAGCAGATGACCAGGCTGCCAATCTTCTAAGACATTAAGCTCTGCTTCCCTTTTAAATATAAGTTCCAGTTTTACATCATTTATTTGCTCATTCATATGAGCACAGGCTAGTAGAGGTAGCCAGGTTACATTTTGAACACTTTGCTCCTTAGAAATTTCATCCTCCAGATACCCTAAATCATCACTCGTAAGTTCAAAGTTCCACAGTTCCCTAGGGCAGAGGCAAAATGCAACCAAGCTCTTTCCTAACCTATAACAAAAGTGACCTTTGCTCCAGTTCCCAATAAATTCTTCATTTCCATCTAGACCTCCTCAGCCTGGACTTCACTGTTCATATCACTGTCAGCATTTTGGTCACAACAATTTAATAAGTCTCTCAAAAGTTCCAAATTTTCCCTCATCTTTCTGTCTTCTTCTGAGCCCTGCATGCTCTTCTAACCTCTGCCCATGACCCAGTTCCAAAGTTACTTTCACATTTTCAGGTATCTTTATAACAATGCTCCACTCTTCAGTACCAACTTTCTGTATTAGTCTGTTCTCACATTGCTATAAAGAAACTCCTACATTTTTGAGGTTAAGAACAACTGACAAGCTTTAATATTAAAACAGAGATCACAGAACTAACAAAAGAGACTGTTGTATAAGATAACCAAATTCCAGCCTGACTCTGGTATAGCATCACATAACAGGTAGAAGGCCCTGAGGGAAATAAAGGTATTTTACCCCAAAATATATTTATTTGACACATTCTGAAATGATCCTGCAAAGCTGTCTCTTATGGGGGAATCTGTATTCTGTACAGAATCTCCTTCCCTTTCCAGGTCTTTTCCTGATCCAGGAAAGAAGTAAGTGTCTCACACCTTTTAAGGTCCCGATAAGAAAGGCTTACCATCTATTCTCTCTGAAGCCTGCTCTATGGAAGCTTCATCTACATAATAAAAACCTAAATTTTCACAACTAGAGTCTTAACTCTAGCGATCTTATCTACCTTATCTTAACTCAAGCATCTCTTTCTGCTAAGTTCAACTCTTTAGGCAGAGGTTATCTTTTTCTACCAATTGCCTGTCAGAAAATCTTTGAATCCACTTACAACCTGTGAGCCCACCCTCCCTGCCATCACTGTGATATGTCCAGCCTTTCTGGACTGAACCAGTGTATACCTTACATGTATTGATTTATGTATTTGCCTGTAACTTGCCTCCTTCAAATATATAAAACCAAGCTATATCCCAAACACCTACTTAGAGGCATATGTTCTTAGGGCTTCCTGAGACTGTGTAACAATCCAGGGTCACTCATATTTGGCTCAGAATAAACCACTTTAAATGTAAAAAATTAAATTAAAAAGGGCAATTTCTGACAATAGAAAATAAAATGAAAATACGATCCTAGATACATATCCAATTGGTAGTATAAGCATTGAGACAGGAGCTATTTCATGTGATGTTAAAACATAATAATTTGACTGTAATACCCCTAAGAAGATACATCATGAAGACAAAAAGAAATGCAAACAAATTTTAAACTCAGTACTCATATAGATGAGGTAGTATTTGAATTGTTATTCTATGTCTCTGTTGTGTGCAACATGGGATGAAAGTGATACTCTAATTCTATTACCTTCAGTGCTATTGAGAACTGGAAAATATACGTGAAAAGAGATATAAATGTAAGATAAACGGTTATGTAAAACTGCTGCAGTCCTGATTCTGAATTAGAACAAGCTGTGTAAATACAAGACATAGTTTATCTTAAAGAAAAAAGAACTCTGACTATTGAAAGACTGGAAACTACAACCCCCAAAACCAAAGTTCCTTGGACAAATGGCTGATTCACAGTCTAGGGCAAGAGTGGTACAAAGTCTTAGTTCAAAGTTGAGGAGACTCCACTAATTAAAATGAGAAGAGTAACAAACCATGGATTAGAATAATAAACTGCAACAGGTTGAAATATGTCAAGTATGTCTAAATCCATAAGCTCATAACAACAGATCATCACTCATCATTAAACAATGCTAGAAAATAAATTCATTATTTTGAGAGTCAGCAAATGAAGGGAAAGAATCATCTAATTATCTTGACTTTCCTGTATAAATTATTTCACTAGATAATCCAGTAGTAGGTGATGGGCAGTGGTGATGTTTTTTAGAAGTATTCTGTTAATTAGTATGTTAGTAATGATAAGATTGGAACAACCATTTTCAATCCCTGAAAAATCAGTAAAGTCATTGAGCATCAGTTGGTACTAATATCGAAAAAAAGAAACAAGCCAAATATAACTCCCAATGAAAGAACACATTACCACTATGAAATAGACTTGCCAAAAGAAAATCAGACATGATTCTGATCAAACCTTTATATCTAGCTAACATTTTACAAGAAATTCCATAAACTGATGAACCTGTTAAACTACAGGGATGCCATCATTAAAATCCAGACTGTGGGAAACTCTACTGCACAAATGACATTTATTTGTTACATGGGAAACAAAAACAGAGAGAAAAAAATTATGGAAAAACTTATTGATTAAAGAGACTAAAATAAAGACATATAAAAATGTGAAAATTATAGACATGTTAGAGAGTAGAGGTTATATTTACAAACAAGTAAATTCAAAATATTATAATTTTGATGAGACAATTGGGAATTTGAAACCTGGGTAGCTATTGATGACATTAAAGAATTATTACTAATTATTTTAATGTGATAATGGCATAGTACTTGCATGTAAATAGTTTTCTTTTTTAGAAATTCACACAGAAATATTTATAAGTGA
Organism: Homo sapiens; assembly: GCF_000001405.40. Lineage (NCBI taxonomy): Eukaryota > Metazoa > Chordata > Mammalia > Primates > Hominidae > Homo > Homo sapiens. Next base: position 188,424,494 of record NC_000002.12, on the reverse strand, counting down.
AATAATATATTGTTGAAATTTGCATCAAAATAATATTGGGAGTAAGGTTGCAAAATGAGCATATACATGAACAGAATGATCATGCATTGAAATCAATGAAGGTGGACAGTAGATACATGAGGCCTCGTTACACTACTCTGTGTACTTTTGTTCCTGCTTGAAACTTTTTATAATACAAATTAAAAGCAATGATTATAATAAACTCCATTCAATTCATATTAGTAATTTTGATGAGATTTTTGTATTATAAAATTGACACACATAAAAATTTAAAACAATAAAATATTTGCAATTTTTAAATAGGCATTTTCCATTTGTTACTAGTTACTAGATCTTTTTCATCAATCCAAATAACAACCTTTGGTATTCAGTTTTGCACTTGACATTCTAATTTCACTGAATGACTTATACCACAAGCCCAGAGAATGATTCCTGCAATAAGAGCACATTTAAGCCTATAAAATTATTTTTTAAAGCCTATATTAAATGAAATACCACAGCTTCCTCCTGAAATGAGGCAGAGCTACATTTGATTTTGAAGGTATATTTTAGGACTAAAATTCATGTCTAGTATGTATGTGTGTGTGTATTGTAGAAAATAGAAACATTATAGAAGTGTGAAATAATTTTAAAAATATTATATATTTTTAAAATGCCATTTTCTAGAAGCAGATGAGAGAAATAAAATTTAAAATTAAAATGCTATTTTCAATTCAATTCTATCTAATTTGAAAAGCTAACTAATCATGAACATTTATATTTCTGTTACCTCATCTGAAAACTATTTTAACATGTTAAAATTTTTCACAATAAACCCTTTATATTCATAAGTTACTAAAATTAGAAAGAGCTAGAAAATACTGATTAGCAGAGAAACTTTGTTTTTATATCACATTTTTAAAATCTAAACAATGCTTTCCCTCTCAAGATATCTAAGAGTACGTTTTAAAAGAATATAATACTCTTAAAATGCAATTGAATCATAATCATGTAATCTCTGAATGGAACAATTGTTTTATTTCAAAATAATGAAGGCATATATAATAATAAACAGCACTGTGTAGCAAAAAGAATATTACTTGGAAAAATAGGTATTAATTCTCACTATCATTACCTATATTGCCTAGGAAAAATCATATACTGTCTAATTTAATTTTTCCATTAGTACCATAAAGTGGAAATAATTGTTCCTACACATTCAACTGTTTTCAACAAATAAAGCTATTTCTTCATCTTTTAAAATAAGATGATTATAATAATAATTTACTAAGCTACTAATTTACTAAGCTATTTTGAGTGTGGTGCAACAGAAAAGAAAGATGTGATTATTTAGCTAACATAGAGTTTCTCCAAAGTTCACCCTTAGCTGGTGGAACCTGATTTTCCTTTCATCCTGTAGAATAGTGAATAAACTGGAAATAGGTAGGCAAGGAAAAGAAACCAAATTTAGTTGACTCTTGAAAAGCAGATTATATAGCACTAGAGATTAGTGGAAATCTCAAGTTCTGGGTAGTGCTTCTCAGTCTACAGGTCAAAGAGATGTTTGAAGAGTACAGGCATCTGGAAACCGAAAGAGCAGAGAATTAAATAGTGCTGTACAAGGAGGGTGCCTCTAATTAGCACAGGCACAGAGATCCTCCACTGTTCTCATGTATGGTCACAAAGTAAGCAAAAAGAGTTTTATTATATCTATAACCTGAGAATACTGGAAAAAGCTTAATAAAGGAAAAGGTACTTTCATAGTAGTTTAAAAAATTTATTTATAATGTGCCTCAGAGATTTTCAAAAATAAAAATTCCCACTTGAATTTAAACATGGATTTTAAAAATTGTATCAAAATTATCAATTAAATTTGAATGTTTGCTCTATTTATTTTAAATAAATGTGCACATAATAAATAAAACATATCAGAGTTTCATAATTTAAAATGAAAAGCAAATCTTAAGTTTTCATTATTAAATTACATGTTCGCTAAATAGTAAATCAAATATCAAATTTCCCAGGGCTATTTAAGTAAAGGAGGGGGTTAAGGGGAAGGTCTATATTTAGTTTCAGAGATAAATTTAATTATGAATATATATATATATATGTATATGTGTGTGTGTATACATATACATATGTACCTGTGCAAGTACAATTGCAATTGAACTAGTTCTTAGAAATTAACCAATCAATACATCAAAATTTATAAAGTTTCAAAGGACCAGTGATATAATAATTCCTGGGTATATTAATCACTAATTAGCACTTTTAAAAAATTATGAATCTCAGGCTGAAAAAAATTAGGAGAATTTTGAGCTGAAGAAATAAAATATTTAAAAGATATACAACATGATTGATTAAAAACTACATTTAAAAAGAAATGAAAAGGTAGATTATGTCAAGAAAGACCAGGTCAAAAAAAAAAAAAAAAGTGTGTCCAGCAGTTAGTCAATGATTATTTAAGTTGCGAATATTTCTTTTTAATTTTGGATTTTTAACACACATGAAATATAAATAAGTACAATAAAATATAAAAACAGAGGTTTTGGTCCGATACTTTTTCTTTGAATAAAAACAAATTAAGAAACAGCTATTTAACACTGGTTAAGGTGTTTTCACTCCTGGAAGTTGGATAAAGTTCAAATGATATTTCTAAAATTACAGATCGGATTTTCCATTCTTCTGCTTTGAGTCCTTCATACATCTATTCTTCAGCATTACTTGTCCCTCTGCCTCTAAAGCTCCTTTCCAAATTAAGCAGGCATTGGAGTGGCCCACTCCCCAGCAAGAATGGTCACTCCACTCTCTATAAATCTATCTATATAATCTATCATATTATCTGAAATTCTTCATATATGCATGTTAGCACTCTACCAGATCAAAAGATTTGCAAAAGCTATCCTTTGTGTGTGGTTTTAAGCCTTAGCCTGACACATATTGGGCACTCAAAAAACATTTAAGTGATTGATAAATGTAAAGTAGGTTGATAAAAGTACTAACAATAAAGGGCTGGGAATGATAACCTCTCATTTTTTTATTTCTGAAATTTTAGTAAAAACCGCTTTAAAAGAAAAATCTCCTATATATTTTACCTTTGTTTTATACATATATATTTATGAATACATACATGAATGCACAAATATTTCAAGTTAAAATATAAACACCATTAATTTCAATTCATATATATAAAAGTTTATAATTTATACAGGCATAGGTCTAATTTAAATTTATTGTTGACGAATTTGAAATTTAAAAATGGGGATATACAAACACAATTGATTTTTGTAATTTGATTTTGTAACATGCATCTTTACTGAATTTGTTTATTAGTTTTAACAGTTTTTTAATGGAGTGTTTAAGTTTTCTACATATAGGATCATGTCATCAATAAATAGGGAGAATTTTACCTCTTTTCCAATTTGGATGCCTTTATTTCTTTTTCTTGCCTAAGTGCTCTGACTAGGACTTCCAATATTATGTTGAATAGAAATGGAAATGAACTATCTGGAGAGGAAATGAGGAAAATGATCTTATTTATAATAGTACTGATAGCGACAGGAGACAGACAAATTCCCAGACAGATAGGGACAGGTCCCCAGTGAAACTTAACCTTCAAGCCAAGGACAATCTAAAGCCTAAAAACCGAGCTACCACTCTAGATACAATCCACAGACTGGAGTAAGAACTTCCTTCCTCATCTCATCCACTCTCTGCCAATTGTTTCTTTCTGAATTATGCCCTTTTACCAAATGAATGGTGCCTTTTCCCAGCCCACCCATAAACCAATCAGCATGCACTCCCACATTCTAAGTCCATAAAAACCCTGGACTCAGCCTCACAGACAGCTACCCACTTTTGGGTCCCCTCTTGCTGTCAAGAGCTTTACTTTCATTCAATAAATTCTATTCTGACTTACACCCTCTCTGGTGTCCACGTGTCTTATTCCTCCTGGTCACGGGACAAGAACTCAGAACTTGCTGAACTGTCGGAGTGAAAGAGCTGTAATGCTCCTGCTCGCTGAGCTGAGGGCAGCAGAACTGTAACACTCCTGCCCACCAAACTACAGGAGTGAAAAGGCCACAACATTTCCAAAATAATAAAATACTTAGAAATAAACTTAACTAAGGAGAGATTTGTATACTGAAAACTACAAATTACTGATAAAAGAAATTATGATATGAATAAATGGAAAAACATCCTGTATTTATTGAAAGACAATATTGTTAAAATATTCATACTACTCAAAGTAATCTACACATTCAACGCAATTCTGATTAAAATCCCAATAGTAGTTTTTGCAAAATTAGAACAAATATCTAAAATTCATATGAAACCACAAAAACCCCAAATAGCCAAAACAATCCAGAAAAAACAAAGCTGGAGGCATCACATTTCTTGATACCAAAATGTATTAATTACAAAACACCAAAACAGTATGGAGCCAGAGCAAAGACAGATATATAGACCAGTGGAACAGAACACAGAACCCAGAAATAAGCCCATACAAATATAGTCAATTGATCTGGGTGCTAAGAACATACAATGAAGAAAGGATACTCTCTTCAACAAATGGTGTTGAGAAAACTGGATAGCCACATGCAAAAAAAGTGACATTGTACCCTTATCTTACAACGTACACTAAACTCAACTCAAAATAGATTAAGGACTTAAACATACGACTCAAAATTGTTAAACTCCTAAAAGAAAACCTAAGAGAAAAGCTTCATTACATTGGTCTTGGCAATGATGTTACAGATGACACCAAAAGGACAAGCAACAAAATAAACATGTGGGACTACATCAAACTAAAAAGCTCTTGCACAGCAAAGAAAACAATCAACAATGCGTGAAAAACAAGCACTATAGAATGGGAGGAAATACTGCAAGACACATATATTATGAGGATAATCTCCAAAATATAAAAGAACTCCTATAACTCAATATTAAAAAAAAAAACACAAATGGCCCAATTAAAAAATGGGCAAAGAATCTGAATAGACATTTTTTCCAAAAAAGATATGCAAATGGCCAACAGGAACATGAAAAGGTTCTCAGCATCACTAATCCAACAGGAAAATGCAAATCAAAACCACGAGATATCACCTCACACCTGTTAGGGATGGCTATTATCAAAAAGACAAAAGGCAACAGGTATTGACCAGGGTATGGAGAAATTGGGACTCTTACACAGCTGTTGATGGGAATACAAAATGGTGCAGCCATTACGGATGAAAGTACAGAGGTTTCTCAAACAACTTAAAAAAAAACTATTATATGTTCTAGAAATTAATACTGGATATTTATCCAAAATAATTGAAATCAGGATCTCAAAGAGAGACCAGCATGCCTATGTACAGTGCAACACTTCACATTAGCCAAGAGGTGGACCTAAATGTCCAGTGAGCAATGAATAAAGAAAATGTGGCATATACGTTTAAAAATAACTCTAAAAAAAAGAAAATTCTGCAATCTGCAAAGCATAGATGAACCTTGAGGACACTGTACTAAGTGAAATAAGCCAGTCACAGATACACAAATCCTACATAATTCCACTTAGGTATGTATTAACAAAATACTCAAATTTACAGAATCAAAGAGAGTAACTATGGTTGCCAGGCCCTGCAGGAGGAGAAATGGGGAGTTAATAATCAACGGGAATAAAGTTTCAGTCAAGCAAAATGAATAAACTTTAGATATCTGCTGTACAACATTGTAGCTATAGTCAACAATAATGTATTACACATTTAAAAGTTTACTAAAAAGGTAGATCTCACATTGTGTTTTTACTACAATTTTTAAAATGTCATCTAAAATTGTGAAACATTAATTATTAAAGCCAAAATGTACTTTATAAAATGTCATTTCTTTTTTATTTTTTTGGAGACATTGTCTGGCTCTATTCCCCAGGCTGGAGTGCAGTGGTGTGATTTCAGCTCACTGCAACCTCCACCTCCCAGGTTCAACTGATTCTTGTGCCTCAGCCTCCTGCGTAGCTGGGATAACAGGCGCCCACCACCATGCCCGGCTAATTTTTTGTATTTTTAGTAGAGACAGGGTTTTGTCATGTTGCCCAGGCTGGTCTCGAACTCCTGACCTCAGGGGATCCGGCCACCTTGGCCTCCCAAAGTGCTGGGATTACAGGCATGAGCCACTGTGCCAGGCCTAAAATGTCATTTCATCTCTGCAAAAGTAATATATTCATCATGAAACACGTGAAGCACAAAAGAAAATGAAAAAAAATTAAACCGTAATCTAACCAATCAGAGGTAAGCATTGTAAATATTTTGGCAAACTACCTTCCAGTGAAATAATGTGTTTCTCTACTAAATTTTAAAAACTATCCTTTAATCCTAAATAAAAACTTCAAGTCCTCAATTTAATTTTTTTTAAATAAAAACAGACTGTATGTGGTGGCTCACACCTATAGTCTTAAAACTATAGGAGGGCAAGGCAGGAGGATTACTAGAGGCCTGGAGTTTGAGACGTGGCCAGATAACATAGCAAAACTCTGTCTCTAAAAAAACAAAACAAAACAAAACAAAAAAACAAAAAAAAATCAGCTGTGTGAGATGATGTGTCTGTAAGTCCCAGCTACTTGAGAGGCTGAGGTAGAAGAATCACTTGAGCCCAGGAGTTTGAGGCTGCAGTGAGCTATGATCATGCCACTGCACTTTAGCCTAGGTGACAGTGAGACTCTGTTTCAAAAAATAAAATAAAATACAAATAAAAAAATACAAATGAGGGAAATATAAGCTCTTCCCTAAAAGTAAAAATCTACTCTTTGTCAATGAGGAGGTAAGACTAGATCATCAATAAGGATCCTTTGAATTCTCATTTTAAACAGTTGTTTCCATGCAGTCAAAATTCCATTGAGCCAAATTTTCATTAAAATTAAATATACTTATCTTTTACAAGAGAATAGTTTTTAATTAAGTGAAATATTTTTAAATGAAAGAACAGTTGAACAAACATAAACCACTTTTCTAGACATTCTATAGTGATATATTTTTTTCCTGTTTTTATCTAATTCGAATAACTTATAGTACATAGTTTAGCCTTGGGAAAAAATGTTAAATGCATCTTCCTTCTTGCTGACGAAGCTCATCTGAGTTATTTCCATAATCTAGAATAGGTAGACAACTTCTGCACAGGAAGTAAGTGACAAAGAAACTTTGGGGTAATGCAAGCAAAAGCACTAGCTTGAGCAACCATATAACAAAACAATTCTTTATAATCCAATGAGCCATGCTTTAAAAGCTCTGCAGAAACATCCATAGTCAATCAAGATGCAGCCACATCATGTCCTAAGAGAGAATGGGAAAAGGAACTTCCTGTCATAATAAATGAGACAAGGCACCAAAAGCAACCAAACTGACACTACTTTGACAGCACAATAAAAACAAAACAATCTTGTATTTGTATAAGGTTAAATATATTTTGATGCATGGATTCCTACTGTCCTAGTTTTATAATGGAATTTAACTTTCAGGTATTTTGAAAAACTTCCTGATGTAGACAAAGAGTATTTTCCAGGTATCTAAAATTTTTTCAAAAACCGAACATACAATACTTTTTCAAAAACTAAATTTTCATTCACCATTGTGACATGGCATTTACTTCAGAATGAATACAGTCTACTAGACTTCAAAAATAAATACTCAAACTGTTTTCCTAACTATATCTGATTAAACTCAGTAAGTGTTTTGTGTGCTTTTTGTTCACTTTTCTACTAACTACTATATGTTCAAGAGCTCACTATCCTGTTGCTTATCTTCATAAAGATCAAATCTGTCTCTAAATTATCACAGACAGTCTCCTTTCTCAGGATGGAGGACACAAAGACCACAAATTGATGTAGGTGAATTAAAGCTGTGATCCATGCCAAGGTTCTGATTGTCAGCCTATCTCTTCCATCACAAGACTAAAAAGCACAAAATTGGTAAGAACTGAAAGAACATAGCAATTGAGTCCTGAAACTGAGTGTCTAGCCTTGTGATTTGCTGTAATCAATCTGAGATGAGAGATGAGAATAGGCTGCTGGCTGTTCTGTATTTTACCCACTCCAGTCACCTTAGTTAACCTCTAGTTGGCCTTTCAGTCATTGAAAATGTACAATTCAGTGATTTCAGTCATTGAAAATGTACAATTCAATGATTTTTAGAATACTTACAAAGTCGTGTAACTATCACCATAATCTAATCATAGAATATTTTCATCACTTTGAAAGGGCTACAATACCCCACCCCAAAGGAAAAACAAAAGAAGGAAGAGAAAAAAGAAGAAAGTAGTGTGGGACAGGGGAAGGGAGAAAAAAAGATGGAGGAAGCAAGGGAGGAAAAAGAGAGAGGGGAAGAAAGAAAAATCACCTAAGAAGAATTTCATTTTGAAGAGTGGAAACACTGCTTAATAAGAAATGCTAGAAAGATAAATTTAATAAAAATTCTAAAGTATATTCCCACTTTATTCTAGATGATAGTTTCCTTCTCTTTTCATTGGTTAAAAATAAAACAAACAAACTTTTATGAATTAGTCACAGAATGGGCAAAACATTTGCAGAAAGGAGCTTTGTCAATCAACAATCTTCTAACAGAGCACTGGGGCATCTTGGTTACTTGTATCACTCTGCAAACAATGGAATTAATGTTTAACTGGGAATGATCGGACTCAATCCAAGGTACCTTGGGGTATTTTGAAATAATGAAAGTATTTTCCTTTCATTATTACTCTAACACTCAGTTTCAGGACTCAATTAGTATGTGTTTTCAGGTCTTAACAATCTTGTGCTTTTAATCCTATAATGGAAAAAGATGGACTTACAATCAGAAAATTGGCATCAGCTTCAATTCTAATTCACCTATATTCATCCATGTCTTCTTTTCTAAGATCACACTCAAGGTTCTTCTATTTGTGCCTCCTATTGCAATACCTTTTTTCAGCTTTGCTCTACAGTGACAAAAGATTTAAACAGATGTTAACATTTTCCCCAAACTTACTTTTTTTTTTTTAATTTTCTAAGGCGCAGAGTAAGTGGCACACTCTCCAAATTATATGGGGGTCTTCAAAAAACTAACCCCCAGGAATTACCATTAAACTTTTCAGTATCTCCAGCTACATTTCACAGACAGATATGTACAGCCCTGCAATCTTCTGAGATAAAGTTGCTTTATTTCTGAGATGGAATAGATTTCATCAGATATCATTCTACTTAGCCCTGAGATATAGGAACCAAAGTAGCCTTCATTCTATAATCTTTTTTTCTAAGTCCCCAAATTGTGCTCTTTATCTGTGAAATGTGTAGTTTCCTTAAATGCACCCCTTTCTCTAGCAAAAGATCCAAAGGACTTTTGAAGAAAATTAGCAGTATCATATTAATCTATAGTAAAGAATTTTAGGTATTTGTAAACTAATTCTGGGATTGTGAAATGAAACCAGTGCTGCTTAAGTTCTTAAATACTGCTATAAATCATCTTTAAACAATGCATTCTAACATCTTAAGACATTCTACATGGAAACATATTTACTCTTGATATAACATTATTCCATAAGGCCATAAATTATCATTTCATACAAAGGCATTGAAAGGGGCCCTCAGACACCACCTATTCACTGTTAAAATCCCATCTTATAATTATAAAATAGCCAGGCAGATTAATTATACTTAAGAAATTATAAATTACTCTAATTACCTAAAGTTTGTTTTCCAAAGACCAGAACTCTTTCTGTAATTGTGTGATTAAAATTTTTACACAGATTCATTAACACAGAAATTGAAATTATCTTCCTGTCACAAAATGTTTTCATAATACAGCAAAATTGTAAGCCCCTGACATATTACAAAAACTCCTTTAATGATTAATAGTATGGAGTTCTCAGGGGAATTGCCAAGCTACTGACACGTTAGCCTTTCCAGCTTCGGCATTCTTTTGAGCACTCTGGGAGGGCAAGCATCTTATATTTCAAATCCTTTACTCAATTCTTGCTAAACTGAGTTCTAAAAAATACACAACTTATGTTTTTTTCCAATGAAGATTACTGAAGTGTTATGATTTAGAACAAGTGCCTGCTGGCTAGATTCATACTAATAAATCATAAAAATTATTTGTCAAATGGAAACACAACTGTGGTTAATATTCCTATTTTTAAAAGTATTCATGTAGCTTCTTCGCAAAGAATATGACCCAAATTTCAGTAAAGAAGACATATAACAAAAACTAAAAACTGGCCATCAACTAGAAATATATACAAATCAATCAATGAACCATTTCTCTTCTTTTTCTTTTTTTTTTTTTTTTTTTTGAGATGGAGTCTCGCTCTGTCACTCAGGCTGGAGTGCAGTGGCGTGATCTTAGCGCACTGCTACCTCTGCCTCCCAGGTTCAAGCAATTCTCCTGCCACAGCTTCCTGAGTAGCTGGGATTACAGGCACGCACCACCATGCCTGACTAATTTTTGTATTTTTAGTAGAGATGGGGTTTCACCATGTTGGTCCGGCTGGTCTCAAACTCCTGACCTTGTGATCCGCCAGCCTCGGCCTCCCAACTTGCTGGGATTACAGAATCAATGAATCATTCCAACTAAACCCATTTTTACAAGGCAACACTAACTTTATTTTAATGCATTAAAAAATTCATTTTGAACAAGAAAATTGAAATAGGAACATCTCTTAACAAACACAAAATAACCCACCTATATGAAAAGGGTAAGCCTTAGCTCTCTCAATAAATAACCAACCTTTACAATTAGTAACACATCTATCTTTCAATTCCTTATGTAAGCATTATTTACTAGGAATTTATATTGTGGCTGACATTATGATAGGAAAGAACAAGGCAGAAATAAACTATACCCCAATGGAGCTTACATGCTGTTAGGAAAGACTGATATTCGGAGGAAAAATAATTGCACACATAATGAGAATTTTAAAAAATACTTAAGATATATACAAAGACCTTAAACAAATTTACAACAAAAAATCAAACAACCCCATCAAAAAGTGGGCAAAGGATATGAACAGACACTTTTCAAAAAAGGACATTTATGCAGCCAAAAGACACATGAAAAAATGCTCATCATCACTGGTCAGCAGAGAAATGCAAATCAAAACCACAATGAGATACCATCTCACACCAGTTAGAATGGCGATCATTAAAGTCAGGAAACAACAGATGCTGGAGAGGATGTGGAGAAATAGGAATGCTTTTACACTGTTGGGAGTGTAAACTAGTTCAACCATTGTGGAAGACAGTGTGGCGATTCCTCAAGGATCTAGAACTAGAAACACCATTTGACCCAGTGATCCCAACGAGTGATGTGAAGAAGCCACATCTTAGACTGCACTCTTATGCATCTCATATTATTTCTGAAAATTTCAGCAATATGCATAAATCATAACATATATTAAAAGTATTATGAAAAAATGATCAATTTTCAATCGGAAGAGCCTGAGTTTAACTGTCTCCAGTGTTACATTGCTGAATGTATTTGGACAAATCACTTAATCCTCTAGACTTTAGTTTTCTCCTCTGCACTGTGAATAGATTTGGTAAGTTATTTTTTAAGATTTTAAAAAAAATTTGGTAAGTTATTTTTAAGAGTTGAGTTTCTGGATACAGCATATGAAAGTACAAATTATATCAGTACCAGAAACAAAGCAGGCACTAAAGAGTGGGGTTTTAAGTCATACATTAAATAATATATGTGATTGACTTTATTCCTGTGTCACATGAAATCATACCTACTTGTTACTAAAATAGCTTAATTCATTGGTGAACTCAAATAATTTTGCAAAGTTGGAAAGAACAATGGAATTCAAAAGGCTTCAAGTCTCCTTGGCAGTATACGGAGTGCTCTCAAGGGAAGTGGATAAAAGATGCCCAATACCACTTCAACAGTATCGTAAAGGGTTTGTGATATGGTTTGGCTGTGTCCCCACCCAAATCTCATCTTCAATTGTGGCTCCCATAATCACCAGGTGTTATGGGAGGGAAACCGTGGGAGTTCCAGAGGACACAACAATGATTCCATTAAACTGGAAGTTAAGATTGCCACCAGCTACTTTGGGCTCTTCCTACCTCTGAGTCAACAGGCTAAGAAGAGAGTTACAGTGTTAGCTGGGGTCACTGAAGCGGATGTGAAGATGAAATCACACTATTACTTCACAATGAAGGTAAGGAAGGGTAGGCGTGCATTAAATTACCCGTGGGAGGTAATTTAATCATGGGGGCGGTTAACCTTTTGCTATTCTCATGAAAGTGAGTGAGTTCTCACGAGATCTGATGGTTTTATAAGGGCTTCTCCCCCTTTTGCTGGGCACTTCCCCTTCCTACTGCCATGAGAAGGATGTGTTTGCTTCCCCTTCCACCATGACTATAAGTTTCCTGAGGCCTCCCCAGCTCAGCGGAATTGTGAACTTAAGCAGGTCTGAAGGCACAAGTAAGTTACATAAGGAAGTGGTTCAAAGGCTCATGGTATCCACTCCTGCCACCCTGCCTTCTCTCCCTGAGCCTGCACTGATGGCCTCACGGGGAGTTCCCTATGATCAGTTCACAGAGGAAGAGAAGACTAGGGCCTGGTTTACAGATGGTTCTGCACAATACACAGATGCCACCCCAAAATGGACAGCTGCAGCACTAGAGCCCCTTTCTAGGACATACCTGAAGGACAGAAGAAGGGAAATCTTCCCAGTGGGCAGAATTTCGAGCAGTGCACCTTGTTGTGCACTTTGCACAGAAGAAGAAATGGCCAGATGTGTGATTATATACTGATTCATGGGCTGTAGCCAATGGTTTGGCTGGATGGTCAGGAACTTGCAAGAAACATGATTGAAAAATTGGAAACAAGGACATTTGGGGAAGAGGTATGTGGATGAAATTCTCTTAGTGGTTAAAAACAAAGTGAAGATATTTGTTATCTTACGTGAATGCTCAACAAAGGGTGACCTCAGAAGAGGAGGATTTTAATAATCAACTGGGTAGGATGACCCTTTCTGTGGACACCACTCAGCCTATTTCCCCAGCCACCCCTTTCATCACCCAGTGGACTCGTGAACAAAGTGGCCATGATGGCAGGGATGGAGGTTAGGCATGGGCTCAGCAACATGGACTTCCACTCATCAAGTCTGACCTGGCTATGGCCACCACTGAGTGCCCAATTTGTCAGCAGCAGAGACCAACACTAAGCCTTCGATATGGCACCATATCCAGGCTGATCAGCCAGCTACTTGGTGACAGGTTTTTACTGGACCCCTGCGGGGGTCTGTCCCACAGACCCTGACCCAACGATGGATGAATAACATACGCTGACACAGATATTTTGCTTGTCAGTCTGGCTGAGGGTCCCGGGCACTCACAGACACCAAGAAGGGTGCTGTAAAGAGTCACAGCCATGCCCCGATCAGCCAGTGAAGCTCACATTTATTCACTATAGATTAAATGACAAAGGTCTTGAGTAAACACCACTAGAGGGTAATTGACATTGCCGACCTCCCAAGTAGAGAGCAATTATGCACCCAAGGGTAATCAAAAGTAGGTCTTATGACCACATGAGTAAACAAGCTATTTAGCTAAACTCCCTTACATTCCTCTGTATCTACTTTAAGTTATTTACTCAAGGTAAGGATTAGGCTGCCTTCAGCCAGATCTATTACTGGAGCTTATGCAAACCTCCCAGCCTTCCATGAAGGTCTGTGCCTATTTCTTATAACTATCTTTAAAATGTTTCCCACCAGCCTGAGTGAACTCCCACAGACCTCTTCCATCTGCTAACCTAGAGGTCTTAGTTCCAGAGGACACAACAATGATTCCATTAAACTGGAAGTTAAGATTGCCACATAGCCACTTTGGGCTCTTCCTACGTCTAATGAGATGATAGCTCATTGTGGTTTTAATTTGCATTTTCCTCATGATTAGTCATGAGGAAAGCATCTTTTCATATACCTGTTGGTCATCTGTATGTTTTCTTCTGAGAAATGTCTATTCAGGTCATTTGCTCATTCTTTAATTGGGTTATTTGTTTCTTTGCCATTGAGTTTTTTGAATTTCTTATATATTTGGCTATTAACCCCTTATCAGATTTATGGTTTGCAAATACATTCTCCCGTTCCATAGGTTGTCTCTTCACTTTGTTGATTGTTTCCTTGGCTATCCAGAAGCCTTTTATTTTTGATGTAATACCATTTGCCTACTCTTGCCTTTGCTTCTGTGAATATATCTAATAAATCTTTACCCAAACCAATGTCACAGGGCTTTTCCCCTTTGTTTTCTTCTAGTAGTTTTATAGTCTGAGGTCTTATGTTTGAGTCTTTAAATCATTTTGAGTTTTTTTTTATTTTTGTATGTGACATGAAATGACAGTCTAATTTCATTCTTCTCCATGCAACTGTCCAGTTTTTCCAGCACTGTTTATTGAAGATACTGTCCTTTCTCCACTGTGTGTTCTTGGAATCTTTGTTGAAAATCAATTAACTGTAAATGTGGGAATTTATTTCTGGGCACTTTATCCTGCTTCATTGGCTTATGTGTCTGTTCTTTTATGCCAGAACCATCCTGTTTTGTAACTTTGTAGTATATTTTGAAATCAGGTAGTGTGATGCTTCCAGCTTTGTTCATTTTGCTCTAGATTGCTTTGGCTATTCAAGGTCTTTTGCTGTTTTCATAGGGATTTCATTCTGTTACTATGTTGTATTATATTACATTATTACATGCGTATATGTTGAATAATCATCCTTGAATACCAAACAAATTCCCACTTGATCATGGTGAATGATTCTTTTAACATGCTGTTGAATTCAGTATGCTAGTATTTTGTTGAGAATTTTTACATCCATGTACATCAGGGATATTGGCCTGTAATTTTCATTTCTTGCAGTGACTTTGTCTGGCTTTGGTATTGAGGTAATGCTGGCCTCATAAAATGAGTTTGGAAGTATTCTTTCTTCTTCAATTTTTGGAAAAAAAAATTGAAAAGAATTGGTATTAATTCTTATCTAAATGTTTGGTAGAATCCATTAATGAAGGCATTAAGTCCTGGGCTTTTCCTTCATGGGAGAAATTTTATTACTGATTCAATCTCATTATTCATTATTGGTCTGTTCAGATTTTCTGTTGATTCCTGATTTAGCATAAGTAGGTTGAATATATCTAGAAATGTGTCCATTACTTCTACCTTATCCAAGTTATTGTTATATTGTTGTTCATAGCAGTCTTTCATGATCCTTTGTATATCCATGGTATCAGTTGTAGTTTCTCCTCTTTCATTTCTGATTTTATTTGAGTTTTTTAGTTTAAAGGCTTGTTGATTCATTTTGCTTTTCTACAAACAACTCTTAGTTTGTTGCTCTTTGTTATTGTTGTCCTATTCTCCATTTCATTTATTTGCACTGATTTTTATTATTTTTTTCCTTCTACTGAGTTGGGCTTAGAATTTTCTTCTTTTACTAAGTCATCAAGGTGTAATTTTAGGTTGCTTCTTTTTCTTTCTTTTTTGATACAGTTGTTTACTGCCCTAAACTTTCTTCTTAGAACTGTTTTGCTACAATCCATAAGTTTTGGTATATTGTGCTTCCATTTTCACTTGTCTAAAGATATTTTTTAATTTTCAATTTCTTTTTTGACCCGTTGGTTTAATTACCACATATTTATTTCCCAAAATTCCTCCTGTGATTGATTTCCAGTTTTACACCACTGTGAATGGAAAAGATACTTGAAATGACTTCATTCTTCTTAAATTTGTTATCACTTGTATCATCATCTAAGATATGATCTATCATGGAGAATGTTCCACGTGCACTTGAGAAAAATGTGTATGCTGATGCTGTTTGATAGAATCTTCTTTATATGTCTGTCTGGTCCGCTTGGTCTAAACAGAAGTTCAAGTCCAATGTTTCCTTATTGTTTTCTGTCTAGATAATCTGTCCATTGTTGAAAGTGGGGTATCAAAGTCCCCTAATATTATTGTACTACAGTCTATCTCTCTCTTCAGGTCTATTAATATTTGCTTCATATATTTAAGTGCTCCACTGTTTGGTACATATATACTTAAAAATTTTACATCTTATTGATGAATTGGTCCCTTTGTCATTATATAATGACCTTATTTTTCTTATTTTACAGTTTTTGACTTAATGTCTCTTTTATCTGATAAAAGTATAGTTACCTGTCCTAGTCCATTTTCTGTTACTATAACAGAATACCATGCACTAAGTAAATAATAAACAATAGAAGTTTATTTAACTCGCAGTTCTAGAGGCTGAGATGTCCAAGAGTATGGTGCTGGCATCTGGTGAGGGCCTTCCTGCTACATCATGACAATGGTGGGAGGCATCACATGGCAAGACAGAGCAAATGTGTTAGCTCCGGTCTCTCTTCTGCTGCTTGTAAAGACACCAGTCCCATCTCATTGGCCTCACCCTGATAACCTCATCTAATCTTAATTACCTCCCAAAGGCCCTACCTCCAGTAAACATATGAATTTGGGGACTGAGCTATCAACATGAAATTTGGGGGACATTTTCAAATCACAGCACTACCTCTGCTCTCTTTTGGTTTCCATTTACATGGAATTTCTTTTTGCATCCTTTTACTTTTAATCTGTGTGTGTACTTAAAAATTAAATAAGTTTCTTGTAGAAAGCATATAGTTGGGACTTGTTTTTTTTAATCCATTCATCCACTCTATGTCTTTTGATGGGAGAATTTAATCCATTAACATTCAAGGTAATTATTGATAGGAAACGATTTATTACTGCCATTTTGTTAATATTTTTCTAGTTGTTTTGTACATCCTTTGTTCCTTTCTTCCTTTGTTGCTGTCTTCCTTTGAGATTATTTTCTCTGGTAGTATGTTCTGATTCCCTACTTTTTCTTATTTGTGCATTTACTAGAGGTTTTGCTTTGTGGTTGCCAGCAGGCTTACACAAGACACCTTACAGTTAAAAGAGGCTATTTTAAACTGATAAAATTAATTTTGACTACATACAGAAATGCTACACTTTTACCATATCACTCACATTTTATGTTTTTGATGTCATAATTTACATCCTTTTACACTGTGTAATCCTTAAATAATTATTGTAGTTATTACTACTTTTTAATAGCTTTGTCTTTTAGCTTTCATACTGAAAATACAGGTGATTTACATGTCACCATTACAGGATTAGAATATTCTGAATTAGACTGTGTATTTACTTTTACCAGTGAATTTTATATTTTCCTGTTTTCATGGTAGTAATTAGCATCCTTTTCTTTAAGCTTTGAGAATTTCATTTAGCAATTCTTGTAAGATAGGTCTGGTGGTACTGAACTCCCTCAGCTTTTGTTTGTCCTGAAAAGTATTTATCTCTCTTTCATTTCTAAAGAAGAGCTCTTCCAGGTAAAATATTCTTGGTTGGCAGTTTTTTTCCCTCAGCATTTTGAAGCTACCACACCACTCTCTCCTGGCCTGGAATGCCCCTGCTGAGAAGTTTGCTGCTGGCCTCTTTGAAACTCCCTTATGTGTGATATGTTTCTTCTCTCTTGTTGCTTTCAGGATTCTCTGTCTTTGATTTTCACAGCTTAATTATAATATATATTGGTATACTTTTATTTGGATTTATCTAATTAGAGATTTTTCATTTTTCTGTACCTGGATATTTATTTCTCACCAGGCTTAGAAAGTTTTCTTCCCCTTTGTCTTTTTCTTCTCCTTTAAATAAGTTTCTTTAAATGTTCTCTTATTCTTTAAATTTTCTTCCCCTTTGTATTTTTCTTCCTCATGAACTCTGATAACTTGAACATTTGTTCTTCTGATGCTGTCCCATAAGTCTTGTAATATTTCTTCATTCCTTTTTATTTTTTGTTTTGTTTTGTTCTCTAACTGTATATTTTCGAATAACCTATCTTCAAGTTTACAGATTTTTTTTCTGTTTGAACAACTCTGCTGCTGACACTCTCTATTGCATTTTTTATTTCATTAATTGTATTTTTCAGCTCCATAATTTCTATGTTTTTTAAAAATTAGTTTGACTTCTCTTTTAAATTTATTTTAGTAATCCATTATTTTTGTAATTTTGTTGGATTGTATTTTTGTTTTTTCTTCAACTTCACTGAGCTTTCCTAAAACAATTACAGTCATGTGTTGCATATCAAAATTTTGGTTAATGGTGTACCAAATACATGATGGTGGTCCTGTCCCATAAGATTATAATATAGTATTTTCACTGTACCTCTTCTGTATTTAGATACACAAATACTTACCATTGTGTTACAACTGCCTATAGTATTCTGCATATAGTCAGTATGTACATGCTGTACAGGTTTGTAGCCTAGGAGCAATAGGCTATACCATATAGGTATATGGCACAAAATACTATTTGATATATACCATATAGGTATATGTAGCAATCAGCTACACTATAGGGGCATAGTAGGCTATATCTTCTAGATTTGCATAAGTACACCCTATGATGTTCATACAAGGATGAAATTGCTTAACAGTGAACATTTTTCAGAAAGTATCTACATCCTTAAGTGACATGACCGTATTTTTAATTCTCTTTCAGTTGGTTCATACATCTGCATTTCTTTAGTGTCAGTTAATGGAACTTCATTTTATCATGTGATGTCATGTTTCTATGACTGTTCTTAACCTTGTGGCATGAGTTGATGTCTGCACATTTGAAGAAACCAGGACTTTTCCAGTCTTTGCAGACTAGTTTTGTTTGGGTAAGCCTTCACCAATCAGCCCATCCAGAAATTCTGAGTAGATCATTTGGTATGGTCCACAGGCAGGCTTGCTGCTGGGGTCCTTATGTAAGCTGGCCTGGTAACTGCATCAATGCAATGGGCAGACCTGGTGCCTGAGTCCCTGAATGTAAGCTTGGGGCCTGGATCCACTGGCATGGAGCTGTTAAAGGTTCTGTGGAATTGGGTCTGGAACCTACATCACTGAGGGCTGGCCTGAAGCCTGGGTCCAACAGAGCTAACCTGGCACTGCAGTGGGTCTTGTGCCTGAACTGACAGGGGCCAGCCAGGCACTAGGACAGGCCTGGAGCCTAAGTCTGTGAGGGCTGACCTGAGGCTGGAGTGGGCCTGGAGCCTCAGTCCATAGGGCTGGGCCTAGAGCTTGGGTGTGCTGGAGCAGGTGTGGACCCTGAATCTATTAAAGCCTGATGCCATGGGAACTAGCCTAGAGCCTATAGCTGACCTGTGCTGGGAAAGACATGATGTCTGAGTCTGTGAGAGCCAATCAGGGGGCTGAGATCATGGGTGCAGGCCTGGAGCCTGGGGCTTTGGGGACCAACTTGGAGCCTGAATCCATGGGGCCAGGCTGGGCATGGGTGTTTGGGTTCTATCCTAGAGGATAGGTCTGCAAGCACTGGCCTTAATTCTGGGGCCACAGAGACCAGTCTGAAACCTCGCATGGGAGCAGTTCTGGAGCCTAGGTCCATGGGGCTAAGCCCAGTTTCTGGAATCTACTGAGGTGGACCTGGACCCTGGATCAGCTGGAACAGTCCCAGACCCTGGCTGAGTCTGCTGGGATATGCAACCACAAGGGCTAGCCTGGAGGATGGAGCCACAGGGGCCAGCCTGGCACCAGGCAGGCTTAGAGCCTGTGTCTACAGTCGAAAGCCTAGCACCTGAGGTCAAGGGTGCTGATCTGATGCCAGGGTGGCCCTGAAGCCTGGGTTGCATGGGCCAACCTGGCTTGGAGCTGGTCTGGAACCTAGGGTGGGCCTGCAGCCTGGGTCCACAGGTGGCAGCCTAGAGATGGAGACTCGGGGGCTGGCCTGGTCTATGGTAGTCCCAAAGCCCAGGGCTGCTGGGACCAGTCTAATGCTGGACCAGTCCATGGCCTAGGGCCACAGGGGTCAGCCTAACAACGGGGTGGGCCCAGAGATAAAGTCCCCTTGGCAAGCTTGAAGCCTGAGGCTGAGGGATCTGTCCTGGTACCAGGGCAGGCCTTGTGACTCACTCTGCAGATTCCAACCTGGAGTCTGAGGCTTTGGAAACCTGCCCAACACTGGGTTTTCCTGGGGTGGACCCAGTGTTCAGATCCGAGGCAAAACCCAGGGCTCACTTCTCTCTCCTTGCCCCAAGTAGAGAGTATCTGTCTCCACACCAAGAGGGCTGGGGTTGGGGAATGAGTGATGCGGGTAATGTAAAGAGTGTCTGTCCTTTTAACTGTCTTCTATGCATCTTATTTCTATGCTACACTCAGTTTCCTTAGCTCTTCTGAAGGTATTTGCATGCATGGATAGTTGTTCAAATTGTTATTTCAGTGGGGGAGCAAGCACTAGAAAGCCCATCTTGCTGACAACCAGTCTTTATAATTATGAATTTATTGAGGGTTTCTTTTAAAAACATTAGTGATCAAATTTTTTGTTCACTTTTTTCTGCTTGACTCCCTTTTAGATTAGGAATCTTAGATTAGATTCTTAGATTCCTCTGCTGTTACATATATATTGCACTCTACTTACTTTATTAACTCTTGCTATCTCAGTGCTATAAGTCTGTCTTTAGTGAGAGTGGGGGAATGGTGAGACACACTGAAAAAGAGCAATTTCAGTAGTGAGTGTCCTGGAAATGAGTTCCCAGATCATCCTCACCATTGCTAATCATCTGAATACTTCACTGGTTTTCTCCAGTCCAAACTCATATCCTTGCTGTCTAGACCACAGAAGATAAACAGGAGATTTTCAGGTTTGAATACTTGATTGCTCCTCTGCTGTGTCCCAACTTAGCAATGAGTTACTTCTCCCTGGGCTCACTGCTATTCCAAAAATCAGGAGCCTACCATTTCTCAGTATGGTACAGACTTAGTGCCACAGCCACCTTTTGGTTGACAGTCCTCCCCTGTGCATAGATTTAGCTGTGGCTTCCTTCTCAAATCTAATACAGTCTCCTTTCTGGATATCTCATACTTTTTGGTCTACTGAGAGTTCTCTGATTTATTTTCCTGCATAGTTCTGAAGTGAGTTATATATACCATATTTATTTTTTCTTCTATCTAAGAATTTGAAGTATAAGTGGAAGAGTCCTGTGTGTGCTTCGTTTATCATAGATTTATCAAATGTAAGTTTAAATTATAAAAGGGGATACCAAAAGTTCTTTGAATCACTTCATTATCCTGCATTTACTACTGTTGTTTTCCTTCATGTTAATTTAGGGCACGTAACAATATATTTATGTGTTACTATCTCAAAATGATATTTTCATTTTTTAATTAAAAAAACAAGAGATTTACCTTGGAATCTCTTCGTAATGATATATACTAGAAATCATGTAAATAAAACTATAAAACGAGTATTAGGAGAGAGGAGTTAAGGAATCTGAAATGAATGAAATATGAGAGACTTAGGGTACAAAAGTGTAGGAGAAGATTAAATATGTAATATGTCTAGCATAGAGCTGAATGTCAGATAGTCTCATAATAAGATGACAAGGGAATACTGACTAGGTGTTTGACATTTTTGGATTGATATACTTTCTCTCATGTTAATGTATGCCTTCTACAAGCAGTAGCATGTAATGAATAAAACAAGGACTACAACTGGGTTCTAATCCCATCTTTGCCATTGGACCTTAGGTAAATTTACTTTCCCTTTTTGTACATAAGCTTTCTCATCTGTAAACAAAATTTCCCTATGAAGATTAAATGTGTTAATTTGTGCAGACAGCTTAGGACAGTGCCTGACATATACAATGTAATATGTAAGTGTTGGCCATTATTATTATTATTATTACTGTTAAAAATCCTAGGGCAGATTTCAAAACTCACTCAGGAATTTAGAAAATTCCACTCTAGAAGGGGGAAAGAAAAGGCCTATTAAGCAGATAGATAGTCTAGAGGAAGGCCAAGTTTGTACTCCTAACTAAGCCAAAATTTTGTATAGAGAAAGTCATTTAAACATTCCCAGCATAGTCTAATTAAAGGATATAAGTAATGTAAACTCGCTTTAAAAGACTCCAAATCTCTATTGAAATCTAAGCTTGTTTCTTTTCTATCAAAATTATTATTACCTATATTTTTATAAAAAACTAACCAAAAAATTTAATTCTAGTATATCTATTACTAGAGTCTTTTCAAAATTATTTTTAAAGAAAGAGGGTCTGCTTATTTCATAGCCATCAGCAAGTAAAAGAATGTTCGAGTTTTGTAGCTTACTTAAATGATAAAATTTTTATGCTTCATCCCAGGTCAAGGTTAGTAAATAATTTTATTGAGGAGTCAAAGCAAATAATAATACCTAAGCAATGATCAAAAACGTGAAGAACAAAACAAAACCTCCTACATAAGTATCAAATGATTTTCCTTACTGTAGGTACTAGCCGGCTTTCAGCCTTTTATTAAAGTTATTACAAGGCATTAATTATCCTCTGTTACCATCAAAATAGCCTAAAGATGATGTGAGTGTTTTAAACGCATCATCATATCATCCATTACGTGTTAATGGAATAATTAATATTCTGAAACTTGGAAGGGGAGGGGAAGGGAGAGAAAAGAAGAATGTGCAAATACGTTCTGTTCTCATGGCACAACCCGTGGATATGTAAAGTAGATTTAATATTAAAGCTTTAGCTTTGCATTCCAGAAATCTAAATACCATTAAAGTCTTACAGAAATTAGTAAAATCTGCACAGGAATGTTATGTCTAATCACCTTACATAAGGCAACCTGGCATTATTACTAATGACAACTTACATAAAATGATCTATTTCTGTGTCTTATTAAATTGCTTATTCACAGATATGGTTTGCAAAATCAAGTAAAAATGCTTCAAGCTAAAGTTATTTTCTACTTTATGTCCAAAAGTAGCATTTTTATCCTGATTTCTCAAATAGCTACTTAACCTAAGGACATACAATACTATCCCCATATATATTTTGAGGTGTTATATAAATACTTGGCTCAGATGGTATAATCCTTTTTCTCCCACAACTTTTTTTTCTCATAAATCAAAAGATGCTCAATCTTTGAAATTAATCACTCATGTTTAAAAATACCATGCTATGAATATCCAATTTCAGGTACATTATATGTGCTAACAACTTATAAAAATTGGATTTTTTCTGGCTACAAAAGTACTATATGCTCATTGAACACACTGTACTTTAAAAATAAGTAAAAATAAATACATAAATAAAAGCACCCAGAAATAGCCACTACATTTAAGTGCATTCACTTATAGTGTTTATTATTAAAAGTAGCCAAATATATAGTATCGAGATCTTACTATAGATACAGCTGTGTCCTAGTTTTCTTCTTTTCACTCAGCTTTTTATAATAGTTATTTCATATGCTATTAAAAATTATTTCTATATGTCATTATTTAATTCCGCATAATACTCCTTTATTGGCTATAGTAATCATATATACTTTTTTCAATTCTCTAACAATTTCAGGTACCATTTATATACTAACATACTAAGATTTGTTTATTCAACATCACTAGTCTCATACAGGCCACTAGACAACTGGCTATTGAACATGCTCACTTGGAAGTCTCACAGCAACCAAAACTAAAAGAAATATCCAAAACTGATTCATTATTTACCCTCTCTCTCCCTCTCTTACACACACACACACACACACACACACACACACACACACACACAAACACACCACTCTCTTCCAATTTCAGAGCCTAGAACTTTCATCCACATAGTCTCAGAACCCAGCAGCCTGGGCCATATTACATGTGATTCCTCTAGCATCCTTTGTCTCTAATTCACACAAAGCCCATTCCACTTTTGTAAACATACCAGAATTGAATTTATTGTTCTTCATTCCCAACAGCATGTCCTTCTCCAAGTCATCATCATTTCAAACCTAAATTACTATAGAATATCCTAGCTAGCTTTTTTCTTCCAGCATTGCTTAGTTACTCCTTGTCTCCACATTGTATCCAATATGATCTTTGTAAAACACAAATCTGATTAGGTCATCCACCTGCTTAATTCCCTCCAGTGGCACTCCACTACATTTAGGATAATGTCAAATCCCTTACATGTTTCCTTACCATCTGTTACACTAGCCTCGTCACCATCATCTCTCCTCTCCACCTCTTACCCAGACCCTGCTAGGAACACCAACAGAACAATGTACCCCACTATGGTAGTTCAATAGTGCCCCACAAAAGTTCATGTTCACCCAGAACCTCTGAGTGTGACCTTGTTTGGAAATATGGTCTTTGTAGATGCAATCAGTTCAGAATCTTAAGATAAAATTATTCTGGATTTAGGATGGGCCCTAAATACAATGACTGATATGTTTATAAGAAGAGGAAAGAATATAGAGAAACACAGGGAAGAAGGTCATGTCAAGATGGAAGCAGAGATTGGAGTTATGTTGCCTAAAATCAAGCAATACAAGGAGCCACTAGAAGCTGGAAAAAAAAGAAGGATCCTCCCCTAGAGCCTTTGGAGGGACAGTGACCCCTGGTACCTAGGTTTTGAGCTTCTATCCTCCATAACTGTTATACAATGAATTTTTGTTGTTTTAAGCCACTCTGTTTATAGTTCTATGCCTCCTATCTTAGACTTATTGCAATATATTAGTGGTTTTATTTCTATTTCACTAGACTATAAACTCCATAAAAGCAAGGAATAACTCCATTGTTTATAATGTTATGCTCATTGTCAAGGATAGCAATTGACATATGATAGGCAATTAGTAAATACAAGTATGTACACAAGAAAGAACAAATGAATTTTTCAAGATAGTAGATACCTATTGAGAACTAAGCAACATTATTATTTCACCTATACTCACTTTACTGGCAAAATCTTTATTATATGACATTTTATTGTTATTACAGTTTGATGTTTTTTTTTTTTTTTTTTTTTTTTCTTGTAGGGACAGGGGTCTATGTTGCCCAGGCTGGTCTCAAAGTTCTGGCCTCAAGCAATCCTCCCATCTCAGACTCCAAAAGTGCTGGGATTACAGATATAAGCCACTGCACCTGGACAGTTTGATGGCTTTAAATAACACTTATGAAAAAGAGTTTTAGGAGGTATCTATTGTTTTTATTTGCCCCCATATTCGCCCTCCGTCTTGGTTCCAGAACTTTAAAGTTGCCTTTGGGACCTACTCTCTCCTAGTACAGGCAGTCTTTTGAGAACTGTTAATCAGTTGCCGTGGTTCCTGGCAGGGGGCAAATGACTCAAACTCAGCCATTCTGACTCCCTTTGTGAGTGTGAGAGGAAGAACATTAAAAAATACTATTGGTCCATATTTAGCTCCACAGAAGTACCCACTGCTGTTTCTCTCCACTTCCTGATCTCTAGATGCCTAGAACAGTCTGGCTCCTGTCTTTTCTGAGAACTGTTTCATCTGATTACCCTCAAATTTTATGTGCTAAGTTATATCCTTTCAGCAAAATGCATTTTTTGTTTAAACAGACAGAACTAGTTTCTGTTACTTGTGATCTAAGAATAAGAGACTCTTCAAATGTAGATGTGATTAGTACATAGCACAGATTGCTTGTATAAATAGGTGTTGTTTCACAGATGGTTGCCTGATCAAAAAGTTTCTAGTTTAGATTGTCAGGCTACCTAACTGATAAACTATGCAATTTAAAATTCATGATTTGCCAATTTCCTTCTCTAAGATAGCCACTTCCATTTTTTCATGCATTGTAGATATTAATGCAAATCCTACTCTTCTCCCTCCTTTAGCTCAATCTTTACACACAAAAATTATTCTCATGAAAATATTTTTTATTTTTCACCAAACTAAATTTTCTCAATATAAATCATGCTGTAAAAGCAAATTAAGCCATTTTATAAAGAATGTGACCTCTAAGAAAGTCAAAGCTTCAGTGTAATAAGT